>NC_000009.12:33494848-33646363 GCF_000001405.40 Homo sapiens
AAGCCAAAGGAAAAGCTCTTAGTAATGACCCGTTTCAGCTGAGACAAGCTGACCTCCACTTTTGAAATGGTACTTAATCATTCACCAAAATAGCTGCATGTAATAAACCACTTAAAGCATATTTTTTAGAAAGGTAAAGGAGGCTGGGTGCAGTGGCTCACACCTGTAATCCTGGCACTTTGGGAGGCTGAAGTGGAAGGATCACTTGAGCCCAGGTAGTTGAGACTGCAGTGAGCCATGATAGTGCCACTGCACTCCAGCATAGGCAACAGAGTAAGACCCTGTCTCCCCCAGCAAAGAAAAAAAAAAGGAAAAGAAGGGAGGGGCTAATTTTCTATGAATTCCTTTTTACACTTAATTCACTTTCAATGCTTGCACTTTCAAATGGTTCAATGTTTTTAAAAATGAAGTTTTAAGTCTTGATTCTGGAAGATAGTTCTAGAACTAGCACTAGTCCAATTTCAGAGGTTTTTATTGCACCCATTAAGAAACCATTCTATTTTCATTTAAGTCAAAAATACTTTAAAAGTTAACTTAAAACTTTGGTAGTTTGCTTGAATGTTACTCTCACATGTACCAGGAAGGCTCTCAAGGTGTTAATATCCCGAAAGAGTATTCATGGGTTATCAGTAAGAATCCTTACTGTGCTGGATCATTAGTTCTCAACATTATATGTATTACCATCCATCCACCTCTAAAGTCTCCTCTGCATAGCACAGAGTTTAATTTTTTCCAATGAAAGAAACTTCAAAATTAAAGAGATGTCATTACAGTTAAGCAACCATGATATCCAGACACCACCATCTTAAGTGGTAAGTAAGATTCCACTTGCCACTACAGACTAACAAGAAGAGATATTTCCCACAGACTAAAGAGCTGGGGCAATTTATTGGCAAACTTTTGAGAACCATATACTTCAAGACTGTACTCATTAAATAATTGCTCCCCCGATCTACAGAATGCAACCTTCCCAACACACTCTTACTGAGCTCTTTGCACATTTCATTGTTACATCAAATTCCTTTGTCTGATAATAGCTCAGTCTTCCTGAGCTCAAACTAGTACATCTACCTTCTTTGTCTTTAAACTAAAATCTTTTTATAATCATTTTTTAAATGCAAAAAATGGCAATGAATGGAGAAGACCTGAAAGGTCTTCTCTCAAGCTTCTAACAGCTCATTTCAAATATTTGCTGAGTACCTACTCTGAGCTAGAAACAGTGCTGGTACATGAGGACACAGCCTCTGTTCTTCTTAAAGTAATTAATCAGAAGAGACATTCCCATAAGTAAAAAGATTCCAGTATGTGTCATGTGTAGTGATCGACCTATGTATCAGGAAATAATGAGTTATCCCGAGGGAAACAGGCTAAAATGTCATCAGTGGTGAGTCTGAGTGATTACTTCCTAAGTTCCTTTATCTTTTCCAGATTTTCTATGATATGGTATAATACGCATTTACTGCTTTTACAGCCCGAATAAAAATCTAAATAACCAAAATAAAATAATAGAAATAGTACTAGTAACATTTATTGACTATTATATACCCTGTGTGCTACATGCTTCACATGCATTATCTCACTTAATAAAATCACCCTATTAAAAAAAGACTGTTATCCGTATTTCAGAGAAGAGGGAGTCAAAATATGAAAAAATTTGCTAGAAATGTATTTTTCAGCTAGAATTTTTACTTATTTCCTCAGAAATAAGCAGGGGTTGGGACAAAAACAATCAGTTGTGTAAACAGAAAGAGTCGGAAATAGATGCCATTTGTTGGATGTATAACCATAAGCAAGCAACTTAATCTCAGCGAGCCTCAGTTTCTCCTATTGCATTGTATTGCAAATGACTTAGTAGGCCCTAACTCATTTAGGTTCCCAAGAATAACTCATTTAGGGTTCTCAAGAATAAATGATATTATGTATAAGAAAAATAAAGAACTCTTTCTGGCAAATAACTGACAACAGAATGTTATCAGTAGCTTCATCAGTATAATCCGAAAAACCTGGACAAATTATTTAACATCTCTGAGTTCAGTTTCTCTACCTGTAAACTGGGGATAAAAATACCTACACCATGCAGTAACTATGAGAATTACATGAGATAATACACAGTACAGTGCCTGGCATGTGGTAAAACAGTCAAAACAGCTATTATAATTATCCACAGGACAAACAAAATGGAGCTGGCTAAATAAGGTACAGTGCATGCATATGACGAAATACTTTGCTGTTGAATATGTAAGGACATGATAAAAATATTGACAATGTATAGCTGTTTAAAAATTATGTAGAGTAAAAGTCTTCTTTAAAAATATATAAATATATGTTACAAAATATATGAAAAGTAACAAGAATACATTCCAAGATCTACAATTTGTGGATTTTTTTTAACTAACTCAGTTAAAAAAAAATTAAACAATTCTCACTATTATCACCACCACTGTATGAAGCAAGATGTTAACGCAACAATTTTTAAAATTCCCATATATATGTATTCAGATAAGCAGGAGCATCATGCCCAGATACCCCATTCCATTACATTATCACCAGGATTCTTTAACATACAAATATTCTTCTCTGAACATTAAAAAAAGGGATTACTTTAAAACTTCTCAAATTTTAGTGAGAGAAAAGGAGGCTATTTTGTTTCTAAGACATACATTTTTAATTCCCACAATTCCAGGCTTTCACATTTTGTATTGTTTAATACAGAAAAATTATTCTGACTAAAAATAGGAAGAAAACAACATTTCCACAAGGGCAAATTCACCCCAAAAGACTGAGAATTCTAATTCTTAAAAGGAATAAAAATTAATGTCAGGCGCGGTGGCTCATGCCTATAATTCCAGCACTTTGGGAGGCTGAGGCGGGCAGATCATGAGGTCAGGAGTTCGAGACCAGCCTGCCCATCTCTACTAAAAATACAAAAAATTAGCTGAGCATGGTGGTGTGTGCCTGTAGTAGTGCCAGCCACTCAGGAGGCTAAGGCAAGAGAATTGCTTGAACCCAGCAGGCGGAGGTTGCAGTGAGTCGAGATCATGCCAATGCACTCCACCTGGGCAACGGAGTGAGACTCCGTCTCAAAAAAAAAAAAACTAATTTTTAAAATGAATATTTCACAATATAGGTGACACTAAAGTCACAATTCTGAGACTGTGACCAGAGAAGAGTGTCATTAAATTAACAAGAAGAAATACAAAATTATAGTTTCTTAATTTCTAAAAAATTAATAGGCTAACATGAAAGTTATATTCAGCAAAAGGTAGAAATAACTATCAGAGATACTGAAAAAATATGAATCCTGGCTTGGAAAAACATATTAGATATTATATTGTAAAACAGTTAAGAAATGCTATTTCATTAATTTCAGGGTTTTACCTCTTTCTCTTCCTACTTTCATCGCAAATTATTTATCACTCAAATTAATAACATTTAACCACCGACTACACATGGACATGCAACATTCATTCAACCTTGAAGGTGGGAAAGAAAAGAGAATTCTCAAAAGCACAGAAATCACCCTTTTAAGCTGCAAATTTTACAGAAGCTCTAATACTAAGCAGATTCTCCCCAGCAAAATGCATCTTTTCTTAAGGCACAAAGGTCCAAGATATCCGAACAGTGAAATACAATCAAGATATCTGAATACATGGAGAGCAAATTATTTTAGTACTGTTCTCTCTTAGTGTCCACAAAGTAAGCCTCAGTAACCCACAGATTTTATTTTCAGTATTCTAATACTGTCTCCCTCTACTGTACAAAAAAGGAAATTGAAAGATTTTTACCATTTATTTCCCTTAAGACATAATTAAGAAAACTTCTTTCAATTTGTTTTCCCCCAAATAGTTTTTAGAGTTAGTAATCTAACAAGATTGTTTGTGTGTGTGTGTATATATATATATATTACATATTATTAATATATATAATATATATTATATATGTGTGTATATATATTATACATATATATATATATATATATATATATATATATATATATATGTATGTATGTATGTATGTATAAAATATGGAGATTCCAGGGACAGGACAAGAAAAATAATCATCCTTTAGAACAAATCCTTAGAATCTAAGTTCTTCAATTCAAAACTTGGGAAAAAACTAAGCAAAGGCATACTAGTTTGGTTGGGAGTCAAGTGTATGTATGTGTCCTGGGCCAGGCTGAGCAATTAGTTAACTAGGTAACCTTGGGGAAAGATTTAGAGTCCATTAACTTCAGATTTTTTTCCACCTTCAAAACTAAGAATAAAAATACTCTGCCAGTGTCACAGGACTAAAACTAGAACCCAATTTTGATTGATTCACTGAACTAAGCACCCACTGTGCAATACACATGGCAAGGGCTGCCAAGTTTAGCAAACAAAAATGCAACACAGAACACACTTATATAATAAAAAAATAGGCCAGGTGCAGTGGCTCACGCCCATAATCCCAACATATGGGAGGCTGAGGCGGGTGAATCACTTGAGGTCAGGAGTTCGAATCCAACCTGGCCAATATAGTGAAACCCCCGTCTTTACTAAAAATACAAAAATTAGCCACGTGTGGTGGCACATGCCTGTAATCCCAGCTACTGAGGAGGCTGAGAAAGGAGAATCGCTTGAACCAGAGAGGCAGAGGTTGCAGTGAGCCAAGATTGGGCCACTGCACTCCAGCCTGGGCGACAGAGTGAGACTCTGTCTCAAAAAAAAAAAAAAAACCTAAATAAATAATTCATTGTTTATCAAAAATACAAACTTAATTGAGCATGCTGTACTTCATCTGTGAACCCTAACTGGGGCACATACAAACATACAAATAAGACATGCTTCTGGCCGGGTGCAGTGGCGCATGCCTGTAATCCCAGCACTTTGGGAGGCCGAGGTGGGCGGATCACGAGGTCAGGAGATCGAGACCATCCTGGCTAACACGGTGAAACCCTGTCTCTACTAAAAATACAAAAAATTAGCCGGGCATGGTGGCAGGTGCCTGTGGCCCCAGCTATTCGGGAGGCTGAGGCAGGAAAATGGCATGAACCCAGGAGGCGGAGCTTGCAGTGAGCCGTGATCGTGCCACTGCACTCCAGTCTGGGCGACACAGTGAGACTCTGTCTCAAAAAAAAAAAAAAAAAAAAAAAAAAGTCATGCTTCTTAACCTCAGAGACTTACATAGGAATGAGGGATATGAAATGTATACATAAACGAACTACTATACAAGGAAGAAAAGTAGTTGTTTAGCATTTAAAGAGGAAAGGGGAAGAAAGGCAAACTGAGAACATACTAAGTAGGACTGAAGAATGGTTAAAATCAACAAACGCAAGATACAAAACAGAAAAAAGAATGAGAGATGAGAGTGCTTAATTACATCCTCAACTCTAGCCACACAGATCTGTGTATTTATCACACATGCTATTCTTCCACCAATATATGAGATGGCTAAGTAATACAAGCTCTTAAGTCATTTATCATTAATTCACACTCAAATTACTTCAAATGGACATGCATTACCAATCTCTTGATAGACATACACCAAAAAATCAAATTTATAATTTTCGGAAATATCTCCCTTTCAAATCCACCTAGAGTTTTGTGCTTGATTACTCAAAATTATTTTATTAAACAAATTCTACACAATGTGGACAGGACCAGAGGCAGACCAAAATCCTGGTAAGGGCCGGGCATGGTAGCTCACGCCTGTAATCTCAGCACTTTCGGAGGCCAAGGTGGGTGGATCACCTGAGATCAGGAGTTCGAGACCAGCCTGGTCAACATGGTGAAACCCCCGTTTCTACTAAAAATACAGAAATTAGCCAGGCATGGTGGCGTGTGCCTATAACCCCAGCTACACAGGAAGCTGAAGCAGGAGAATTGCTTGAACCGAGGAGGTGGAGGTTGTAATGATCTGAGATCATGCCGCTGCACTCCAGCCTGGGCAACAAGAGCGAAACTCTGTCTCAAAAAAACAAAACAAACAAACAAAAAAAACAAAAAAACTTGATAAGATTTCATCCCTTTTCTCACTTTCTATTGTCCCAAGCAGCTATTTCATAAATCTGCCTCATAATTAACCAGCTCTGTTCTTCACAATCTTTAAATGAATAAATAGGCAGATCCTTCTTAGCTAGATGCAAAAAACTACTTCACTTTGCACTTCCTGCTCCAACCCTCCGAACCTGTCTCCTTTCTGCAGGCCCAGTTACTTACCATTCTTCATGACACAGGCCATCCCTGATCCTATTCCACAACAGGAAACTTCACATGTCCTTAGAACTTTAACTTAATAAATAGTAACACAGTTTGCTGCAGGACTTTGTATAAAAAGGAGTAGTGGCCGGGTGCCGTGGCCCACACCTGCAATCCCAGCACTTTGGGAGGCCAAGGCAGGTGGATCACTTAAGGTCAGAAGTTTGAGACCAGCCTGGCCAACAATGGTGAAATCCCATCTCTGTCAAAAATATAAAAATCAGCTGGGCATGGTGGCAGGCACCTGTAGTCCCAGCTACTCAGAAGGCCGAGGCAGGAGAATCACTTGAACCCAGGAGGTGGAGGTTGCAGTGAGCTGGGATTGTACCACTGCACTCCAGCCTGGGCAACAGAGAGACTCTGTCTCAAAAATAAATAAATAAACAAATAAATAAATAAATAAAACATTAAAAAAATCAGTAGTGATGGAAAAAGCCTACCTATATCATTTATTCACATTAACTCATTTACCATTATACCTTCATGTAATTTTATAGCTGAAAGGACTCCAGAGCTCATTTGGTCCACGGACTTCCTTTCAAAGGTACTGTGAATTTAGTCATAGTCATTTTGTGCCTAGACTAAGTTCACAGGGCAAGCCAAGATCCAGAGTCAGATATCTTGATTTTCAGTTCAGTACTTTTCTTACTAAATTACATTATTATCTACATTTTTTAAAAAAATTGAGGCAGAGTCTCACTGTCACCCACACTGGGAGGCCGAGACGGGCAGATCACTTGAGGTGAGGAGTTTGGGTCCAGCCTGGCCAACATAGTGAAACCCCATCTCTACTAAAAATACAAAAATTAGCCATGCATGGTGGCGCATGCCTGTAATCCCAGCTGCTCAGGAGGCTGAGAGAGGAGAATCGCTTGAACCAGAGAGGCAGATGTTGCAGTGAGCTGAGACTGGGCCACTGCACCCCAGCCTGGGCAACAGAGAGAGTCTCTGTCTCAAAAATTAATTAATTAATTAAACATAAAAAAGGAGTAGCCATGGAAAAAGCCTACCTATATCATTTATTCGCCTGAACTCATTTATCATTATACCTTCATATAATTTTACAGCTGAAAGGACTCCAGAGCTCATTTGGTCCACGGACTTCCTTTCAAAGGTACTAAAAATTTAGTCATAGTCATTTTGTGCCTAGACTAAATTCTCAGGGCTAGCAAAGATCCAGAGTCAGATTTCTTGATTTTCAGTTCAGTACTTTTCTTACTAAATTACACTATTATCTACATTTTTTTTAATTGAGGCAGAGTCTCACTCTGTCACCCAGGCTGGAGTGCAGTGGCATGATCTCAGCTCACTGCAACCTCCATCTCCCAGGCTCAAGTGACTCTTCTGCTGCAGCCTCCACAGTAGCTGGGATTACAGGCGCGTGCCAACACGACCAGCTGATTTTTGTATTTTTACTGGAGAAAGGGTTTCGCTATGTTGGCCAGGCTGGTGTATAACTCCTGACCTCAGGTGATCTGCCCAACTCAGCCTCCAAAAGTGGTGGTATTAACAGGTGTGAGCCACCACGCCTGGCTATTATCTACATATTTTGAGTGATAGTTAAATATTCTCTGAATATTAATTCTATTGTATAGCTTTATTTCTTTTTGAAAATATAAAGGAATCTAAAACTTAGTTACTTAAACTGTAATTTTTCATTGTTCCCTCATAATGAAGTAACATAATATTTAGCGTAATTAAAAAACAAAACAAAACAAAACAAAAAAGCAGATTCATCTTTATGGTAGTGTGTCCTTTTTTCTCTTTTTTTTTTTTTTAAGACAGAGTCTCGCTCTGTCACCCAGACTGCAGTACAGTGGCATGATTTTGGGTCACTGCAACCTCCACCTCCTGGGCTCCAGGGGTTCTCCCACCTCAGCTTCCTGAGTAGCTGGGATTACAGGTGCCTACCACCACATCTGGCTCATTTTTGTATTTTTAGTAGAGACAGGGTTTCACTATGTTGGCCAGGCTGGTCTTGAACTCCTGACCTCAACTGATCTGCCTGCCTCAGCCTCCCAAAGTGCTGGGATTACAGGCATAAGAATCTGCACCCAGCCTAAAAAGCTTTTTAAAGAAATAGAATATATTAGGGGGCTTGGTGGGGTGACATGCACCTGTAGTCCCAGCTACTTGGGAGGCTGAGGTAGGAAGACTGCTTGAGCCCAGGAGTTTGAGGCTGCAGTGAGCTATGATGGCACCACTGCACTCCAGCCTGTGTAACAGAGCAAGACCCTGTCTTTAAAAAAAAAAAAAACTAAAAGTTACTTTTATTCAATTCCACCATAATTTTTAATAACTGAAAAGACTTGAAGGTCTTCATGCCCAAAACAATAAACATTATACTGAATTAAAGATAAACATTTCCAATTTTCCTTAACTTTTGTCTTAGCCTATCATAAAAAGCCCTACAAGTGATTCAAACTGTTGGACCTAAATAAATGTAATAAGGTTTTAGTAAGGAACAGATAAATAATCATTTTGACCATACTAAAACATACCAAATAGATTTGAACCACACAATAAATTCATTAAAATAGCCCAATAAATTTCATGACTAGAAACTTCCATATTTATGAAAAAATGGTTTTATTTCAGTTCCTAGAGGAACCAGTACTTAAATGGAATTGCTTAGTATTTAACTGACAAAGAGTTCATCCTGTGTCCTGTCTCAAATATACTTGGTACTTGAAATTTAACCTAAGTAAGTAAAAACATGAAGAATGAAAACTCTGGACTTACCACCTCAGATTCTGAGCCTATTAAAACATAAAAAGGAAGCATTTTCAGTTAACAGCACATTTAAAGGCAAAGGTATTTATATGATTTTTATTGCACAAACATACTGATTAAGCAAGCCAATTCTCCATACCTTTCAACTAAAGAAAAGTGGGTTCATTTTGCCTCCTGAATTCATTTTAGACTCCTTAGTAATTTCTTTTTTTGAGACAGAGCCTCGTTCTGTCGCCCAGGCTGGAGTGCAGTGGCGTGATCTCAGCTCACTGCAACCTCCGCCTCCCGGGTTCAAGCGATTCTCCTGCCTTAGCTCCCGAGTACCTGGGGCTACAGGCACGCACCACCACGCCCGGCTAATTTTTGTATTTTCTTAGCAGAGACGGGGTTGCACCATGTTGCCCAGGATGGTCTCAATCTCCTGACCTCGTGATCCGCCCGCCTCAGCCTCCCAAAATGCTGGGATTACAGGCGTGAGCCACCGTGCCCAGCCTAGACTCCTTAGTAGTTTCTCACTGATATGCCATACCAGCAATCCACCCAAATCTCCTTTTCAACCTAAGAAGCTAGGCAAAAAACAGTATATTTTTGGAAGTCTACATTTAAGGAAACATGTACTATTTAAAATAAATTATAAAGGTAAAAACAAATTTGTTTAAACCAAAAAATTTCAAATGTTTGCTTCTTTTTAAATTGAAATACCAAGGGAGATCTACATACCATTCTGAGCTTCTTGACACCTTTTAATCCAGTCACTGAAATTAGCATCTGCACCTAGAAAGAAAAACCTATCACATCACTCATCTGCATAACCTATTAATCAGCAAATACTTATTAAATACCTACTGCATCCCAGGCACTGTTCTAGGCACTGGGGAGTCAGCAGTGAATAAAACCTGTCTTAACAGAACTTATGGCAAACTCTGTTATAGCTATAAACATACCAATAGTTTAACATTTAGTTCTTCATCCTGAAACATTTTGATTTTTTAAAATTAATTTTAACTACAGTCAACCTCACTAATTTCATAGATATAAATAATGTACATTTCCCTCAATCCCTCTGCCCTTAGAGAAGCTTCCTCACCCACACAACAAAGTCAGATCTAAATCAGACTCCCAAAATGCCATTAGTTAGGGTGGGGAGGAGGCTTGGTAACTGGGAGCTGAGTTGAGGTCCATAAGCCTTTCCCAGTCCCAACTCGCTCTTCAATGCGGCTACCTATTCAGTCCACTATTCTCTCAGTGGCTTTATCTGTTCCCATCCCTTTCCTACCAACACCAAGAAGTATCTTTAAATTCTGTGAAGTTTTCTCATATATCCAAGTTACATGGGGGTCAAAAGGCTACAGGTGATAAATTATATACTTACAGATAATAGTGTAAATGTATGCATAAACAAATTATTCATTTCTGGAGACACAGAACAATGATTACATTTATACACAGTGCATAGTGAAATACGTTAAAAACCTTGAAAGTACTCTAAATAAAAGCCTACTAATTCAAGTTAACTCCAGCCAAGAGTAATCTGGAAATTTTAAACTAAAAATCTCTTAAAACAAAATTTTCTAATTTACTAATTTATAAAAGAAATACAACTACATGGACCTTAATAAAAATTTTAAATATACTCTCTCACACACACTATATTCTAGGGAAGAGGGTTTGAATAACTTATTATTTTAAATAATCAGTAACTAAAACCAAGCAGTCTATCACACAAAGAGGGGAAAAGGTAATATTCTGAGTTATAAATTTTGTACCCTGTCTGATAAAAATAGAAGCCTAAAAGTTTAACTTAAATTTTTCCTGGATTTGAATTTAAAGATAAATTTGTTTTTTAGTGAAATATCCTCAATAGCAATTTTACCAAAGAGGCCTTCTTCTGAAGGCCACCTCTGAAGTAATTACAGAATAAATGTCAATGGCATGATATTAAGATATTATTCGGCCGGGCGCAGTGGCTCACATCTGTAATCCCGGCACTTTGGGAGGCTGAGGCGGGTGGATCACGAAGTCAGGAGTTTGAGACCAGCCTGGCCAACATGGTGAAACCCCCATCTCTACTAAAGACAAAAAAATTAACTGGTTGTGGTGGCACGCACCTGTAATCCCAGCTTCTCTGGAGGCTGAGGCAGGAGAATCACTTGAACCCAGGAGGCAGAGGTTGCAGTGAGCCGAGAATGCACCACTGCACTCCAGGCTGGGAGACAGGGCGAGACTCTGTCTCAAAAAAAAAAAAAAAAAAAAAAAGAAAGGAAGGAAGGAAAGGAAGGAAAGAAAATGAAAGAAGGGAAAGAAAGAAAGAAAGAAAACTCAAGAAAAGAATTTAGGGGCCAAGTGCAGTGGCTCATGTCTGTAATGCCAGAGCTTTGGAAGGCCAAGGCAGTAGGATCATTTGAGGCCAGGAGTTCAGAGACCAGTCTGGGTAATGTAGCAAGACCTCATCTCTACACAAAAATGTTTAATTAGCTTAGTGTGATGGCACGTGCCTGTATTCCCAGCTACTCAGGAGGCAGAGGCAGAAGGACAGCTTGAGCTCAGGAATTCAAGGCTGCAGTGAACTATAATGGTGCCATTGCACTCAAGTCTGGGTGAAAGAGTAAGGCTCTGTGCCCCCAGGTCCAAAAAGAAGAAAAAAAAAGAAAAGAATTTAGGCAGGAAACTTTTCTATTGCTCTTAAAAGTAATAAGGCCTAGAAATGCAGAGGATGAGGTCAGGCATGAAGGCTCACGCCTGTAACCCCAACACTTTGGGAGGCTGAGGCAGGTGGATCACTTTAGCCCAGGAGTTCAAGACCAGCCTTTGTAACAGGGCGAAACCCTGTCTCTGTGAAAAAAAAGCACAATTTCGTCAGATGTGGTGGCACGTGCCTATAGCCCCAGTGACTTGGGGGGCTGGGGTGGGTGAATCACTTGAGCTCAGGAGGCGGAGGTTGCAGTGACCCAAGATCACATCACTGCATTCCAGCCAGGGCAACAGAGTGAGACCTTGTCTCAAAAAAAAGAAAATGTAGAAGATGGTATGACTCATGTTTTTTCAGGGGTTTCAAGTATGTATCAAGGCACTAGATAACTTGACTCTGGAATTTCCTAGGAGTGTAGATATGCTGTCTTCCTGACTGAATAACCCTATTATTCACATACCAAAACTGAAACTGGGATAAGCAAATTTGACAATAAGCCCTGTCACCCAGTCCTTTCCTTTCCTAATTTGTAGCTTCCATTTGTGTAATCAGGCCTAAAATCCCTTTTTTGAGTAGGTATACAGCAGAAAAGCAAACATTCAAAGCAGTACAGAGTTAGAATTTAACACATAATACGTAAGAGCAGAGTTTCTTAACTCAGCACTACTGACGTTTTGAACCAGATACTTCTCTGTTGGGCAGGACTGTCCTGGCCATTATGGGCTGTTTCGTAGCACCTCCTGGTTTATACTCATTAGATGTCAGTAGCTCATCCCCCATCCACCAATCATGATAATCAAAAATCTCTTCAAACATTGCCTAAAGTTTCCTGGGACACAATTGTTTCCAGTTAAGAACCACTGCTTTACAGAATTGTGATAAAACTCTATCATAACATAAAGATAAAATAATAGTACAAGTAGGATTATGTAGTCTACAATTTCCTGGGATTACTCACAACCTCTTAGTATTTTTCCGATTTTAAAATTCTTGCTCTCACAATTCCTATATATGTCTAAATATCCACAATGCTGTGATAATTTTCATATATTCCCCTCAAAAATATAACATTAAAAACTAACAATACTCTCAAAACGCTGGGTTTCTTCTGTACTCTCTCATAATTTATCCAAATGTACACTTCACTTCTCCATAAAAACCTTATTGTTAAGATTTCCCATCTCAGCATTCTTAATAACTTAAAATGAACAGACTTCTGACCAAGAAAGCAAATTAAACTTTCATTTCTCCATTAGAAAAAACAAAGCCAGGCCAGGCGCCGGTGGCTCACACCTGTAATTCCAGCACTTTGGGAGGCCGAGGCGGGTGGAACACGAGGTCAAGAGATCGAGACCATCCTGGCCAACATTGTGAAACCCCACCTCTACTAAAAATACAAAAATTAGCTGGGCATGGTGGCACACGCCTGTAGTCCCAGCCACTCGGGAGGCTGAGGCAGGAGAATCACTTGAACCCAGGAGGCGGAGGTTGCAGTGAGCCAAGATCACGCCACTGCACTCCAGCCTGGGTGACAGTGCGAGACTGTCTCAAAAAAAAAAATAAAATAAAATAAAGAAAAGAAAAAAACAAAGCCAGACTAAGTAGAGAGAGCATGTTAAGTGTTTCCATATAGTTTTTTACTTCTAATGGTAAGTTTATCTGTGGTTTAAATGCTAAAAGGCTAATTTAACCAATTTTAAGTGATCTCATATCTGCGATCAATATGAAATGTAATTACGGTGAGAAAAACAGGTATTGGGTTTCTGTAATTAACTTGAGATTAACATTAACAAAATTCAGCTTTGGTATTTAAGACAGAAATAGGTAAGTTTATAAAACCATAATTTAATACTTACTAATTTTTGTCCTCCTATAAAAGTTTCTAGAGCAGCAGCATAGTTTTTTAAATGGTATTCACATATCCTGCATGAACATATTTAAAACAAATTAACACACATACAAGATCTGGAAAATAGCCTTCTTTCTAAATGAAAACATCTTAGTATTTTCTATTGTTGAAAGAAAAAATTTATTTTTAAGTATATGTTAGTAAGCCAAGAGACTTTCTAAAATACTGTTAACATCTAGTACAATTTCCAGTAAAATTCAATTTTAGAACTTACTTCAGAAGGAATTTCACTTTAATTGTACATACCTGCTTATTCCAAAATACATACAAAGGAATTAAAGCAGTTTCTTACTTAAAGAATAAAGTTACACTTATCAACAGAAACAAGTTGGGATATAAAGCACATAGATACAGAGCTTTCACACCATTAAGCGTAGCCCATTCAGCTTGGTTGAAGAATAGGATGTCCTCTAGTCAGTTAAATATGGTAAATTCCAAATTTTAAATAAAAAAAGAATGTGAAATCCATCAGTTTCATCTATACCTTGCAGTTATTTCAATCATCGCTATTTTTAAATATATTAAGTATAGATCTCCATCACATACTATGGTTAACAAAATAATAGAACTATAACTTCATATTTAAAATTGAATCATATCTCTGCTATAAATACAGAATTTTACTACTTATAAAGCTTACACTGAACTCATTCAACAAATTACACATCTCCTATTTACAGTCCAAGCTCAACAAAAAGAGTAGCTATTGCATACCCTTTTCTCAGCACAGCAGTGGAATTATTTGGATTGAATTCGCGAGACTTCTTTGCATCAGCAACAGCAACTATGTAGAAAAAGATGCGTTTCTGGCTGGGCATGGCGGCTCACGCGTGTAATCCCAGCACTTTGGGAGGCCGAGGCAGGTGGATCACGAGGTCAAGAAATCGAGACCAGCCTGGCTAACACAGTGAAACCCCGTCTCTATGAAAAAAAAAATTAAAAATTAGCCGGATGCAGTGGCACGCGCCTGTAGTCCTAGCTACTCAGGAGGCTGAGGCAGGAGAATCGCTTGAACCTGGGAGGCAGAGGTTGCAGTGAGCCAAGACTGCGCCACTGTACTCCAGCCTGGGCAACAGAGTGAGACTCCGTCTCAAAAAAAAAAAAAGAAAGAAAGAAAAAGATGTTTTTTGTCAGTTATTTACAGATTCTAGCAAACACACACAGAATACTGATCAGTTTTAGATTTCCAAGTTTTCGAGTTAATAGAAACGCCAAATGGTTTTAAATTAGGAAAAGCTAATCCAACACAGAATTCAAATAAATATTACTCTTGTACCTTCCTTTTGGCTTAACATTTAGCTTTCTTCTTAAAGCTCTTCGGTCAGTGAATAAAGCTGTGTGACAAAATTCATCTCCTTTTCTCATTAGCATCACTTATGTAATTTGGCGGGGTGCAGTGGCTCCCGCCTGTAATCCCAGCACTCTGAGAGGCTGAGGTGGGTGGATCACCTGTGGTCAGGAGTTTGAGACCAGCCTGGCCAACATGGTGAAACCCCCTCTCTGCTAAAAATACAAAATTAGCCAGGCATAGTGGCATACACCTGTAGTCCCAGCTACCTGGGAGGCTGAAGCAGGAGAATCACTTGAACCTAGGAGGCAGAGGCTGCAGTGAGATGAGATTGTGCCACTGCACTCCAGCCTAGGCAATAAGAGCAAAACTCCATCTAAAAAAAAAAAGATATTCAGTTTTTCCCTATCCAGATTCTTCATCAGAATAATTTTTAAAGTTACACAGTACAGGAATACATTATTTTTTTAATATAGATAGGGTCTTGCTATGTTGTCCAGGCTAGACTCGAACTCTTGGGCTCATGTGATCCTCCCGCTTTGGCCTCCCAAAGTGCTGGGATTACAGGCGTGAGCCACCATGCCACATTCTTTTTTATAAAAAAATACAAAGAAGAGCATGTCATTTTAATACTCTGTTAAACAGTAAATGTGATACTATTCTTTATCAGCCTACTCAATAACTACGAATGAAACCTATATACATTATCCACCCACTGAACGAAAAAAGAGACATCCATAAAATTTAAATAGGTGTTGCTCAACATGTCTGTCACACTTGAGCTACTTTACCTTGTATGAAAGACCAACTCAAAAATCCTCAAAGACAACCTTTATTTTATTTGATTAATTGGTCATGGGTAAAATGTATAAGTAACTTATTAAAAAGGGGCAATATACTTTATAAGAAAAATTACCACAGTAATTCCCAAGAAGAATGTGACAATAAGCTCTTTGACGATAATATATGTGCATCATCTGGTTTCTGTTCCAAAGCCTTAGTCAGCTCCTACAAAAACAAACATGTTGAGTGTCAGTAAAAGTTTTTTAAAAGCCATCAAATAAATTCTAATTAAAACATCATTTTTAAACAAATAACTTATGATCAGAAACTACTTGGAGGAAAGATAACAGGGATGTAATCTTGGAGTTTTTCCTCGTAAGAGGATCTCCCCGGTTTCTCGCGGTCCTGCTAAAACGCTGTCAACCTAACGCTCCACCAGAGAGGCCCGTTGGCTTCTCGGGAGGCGACCGAGGGAGCTCAGGAGGCGGGGAGGCTTTTACAAGAAGCGAAAGGACGGCCTCAGGGGTGGCCGGGAACAGCCTGGAATCAGCTGGAGGACATCAGCAGGACTGAGGAAAGGGCCACCACCAGCGTGAGGAAAGGGGGGAGAGGGCAGAACGCGGCGAATGGCCGCGCTCGAGGGCTGGCGGGGTCCCAGCGAGCAGCGGCTGGGAAACAATGGCGCGAGCGTGACGTGGGCCGGAGGCGCCGCCGCGGCGCGGAGGAAGGGGCTGCCGTGGGACTGTAGAGTCTGTAGAGTCTTTTGGAATTTATGTGATTACAATCTTGCAGTCTGTGAATAGAGATGGTTTAACTTTCCTGTAATCTTTATACCTTTTAGTTTTGTTGCTGGCTAGTATGTCCACTATTGAATAGAAATAGTGATAATGGACTTCCTTGTCTTGGTTGTAAAATCAAGAGGAAAGCATTCAATATCAAGTGCTTTTTCTACCTTTATTGAAATGTTCATATGTATTTTTAATAATAATATGTTACTGTTATATAATAATAATTTTAAAATAATATTTTAATAATAATGTTACAATGTGACCAATTACATTGGTTAATTTTCAAATGTTATCTAAATGGCCGGTTGTCCTTCCGGATCCCCATTGATTCCGATTGGGATGACACTATAGGAGAGGCAGAACCAGTGAAGGAAACATAACGTTTATTCAGGAGTTACATACAGGGGTGGTCCAGTGGTGGTGGGCTGGCCTGGAGAAACGCTACCGTTTGTATAAAAAAAAAAAAGCATGTAGTCCATATAGCATATCGCATTTTCACTTAGAACCCTCCTTCTAGCAGTCTCCATTTAACCCAAAATAAAGGGCCTTGATCACCTGTACAGGCTGTGTTCCAAGGGATGGGGCAGGGGTATGGCTGTCCTTCATAGGTAAGTAGTGAATCTCAGTGTTGGCTACTCCTGGATTCCTTAGCCTGGGACTCCAAACACACTTAGAATAGGGTTATTCTCAGGTATGCTCCATTTATGGCTCAGCCATACACCAAGGTGTATACACCAACCCCTGCCATGCACCAATATGCATATAAATATGAATAGCCTCTGAAAGGGCAAATTCCTAGATTGACCTATAGGCCCACATGAAAAGTTCTATATTAATAGCTATGTCATGGCTGAGCACAGTGGCTCATGCCTGTAATCTCAACACTTTGGGAGGTCGAGGCGGGTGGATCCCTTGAGGCCAGGAGTTGGAGACCAGCCTGGGCAACATGACAAAACCCCATCTCTACTAAAAATACAAAAATTACCTGGGCTTGGTGGTGCACACCTATAATCCCAGCTACTAAGGAGGCCAAGGCACAGGAAACACTTGAACCTGGGAGGCAGAGGTTGCAGTGAGCGAGATGGCACCACTGCACTCCAGCCTGGGCAACAGAGTCAGACTCTGTCTCAAAAAAAAAAAAAAAATAGCTGTATCGTGGACATTGAAATTATAATGAGATAATAAAACTACCACCAGAATGACTTAAATTAAAAGGATTTCCAATACCAAGCATTGACAAGGATAGGAGCATTTTTTAGAGAGAATGACCAAGGAGTTGGCTACAGTCAGGTGCTGCAGAATCAGATCTGTGGACCTTAATGTGCATCTGGTGAAATAAATAACTATAATGGTGAAGAACAAAGCAATTGCCCAGGAATCCTACTGTGGTCTGAGATAAGAAGATCATTCCTATTGCCACATCCCTGGAGGCCATTTTTCTTTTTTCAATGACTGATCATCCTATTCAGAGTGAGAGGATCTGGCGTGAAAACAAGAGGCCTGTTGTACTATGGCAACTGAAAGCCACTCTTTTCCATGTACCATTGTTTTCAAGCCATTAATTTCCTATTAAACTTCATTTTCCTCTTCCTGAGAGTTTCGCTATAAAAATATATGTGTGTATAGATATATATTCCCAGCATAAGAGTGCTGTAACAGTGTTTTACATAGAACTTTTACAACAATTCTTTGAAGTGCTTTATTGTTCCCATTTGACAGGTGAGGTGATTTCGGGCACAGGAAGGCTGAATGACATTTCCAAAGTCACCTCCTTGTAAGAGGCAGTGTCAGAAGCTGACAATGGACTTGACCACTATGCTGTCATAGCAACAGAGAGAAATAATTTTTAAGACAATCCATGTATTTAAAAAATATTTTTGTATCTCTTGTGAGTTTTTAAAAGAATCGTTTTGAATTTTTTCTTTTTGATTGTGATTGAAAACACCAATGCTTGTTTTATAGGCAAATATCATCTATAGTGATCAGAGATCCAAGTAAAATATAGATGTGCTGATCTTAGCATAATCTTAGAAGAATAATTATATACAACCAAATGGAATTTCTTAAATGCACAAATGGAATTAAAAGAGGAGGTTCTTTTCCATCTTAACCAAGAAGGAGGGCATAATGGAATGACCATGTGCTAAGCAAGGGAGCAGGAAAACAAGTAGGAGGGAAAACACTGCAGAGGAGAAACTAAATTACCATGAGTGTAGAAAGAAAATGAGGACTTGTGAATATGAAAATATCAAATACAGTATTTCAATGTCAGGATGGTTCACTATATTAAAACTCAAGTCCATTATGCACAAGAAAAACTGGAGGTAATGATTATACATTGACCCAAAATAGTACCAACATGAGCACTGAGCCTGGGGATGACATGAAAACATTCTTAAACAAGAGGAAAGATCAAAAATAATGCAATTCTGAAAACCGCTGAAGAGCATAATGTTTTTTTCTAACACAAAAAGCTAAATTCATTTACTTTTCTTTGCTGATTTCATGAGGGAAAGGAGTCTCACCATAATAAAGAGACAATAGATTTTTTCTGTCATGACACACTTATGGTCTCCATTTGGTATATTCTGTGCACAGAGTTGGTGAAAACACTATATTTACTATTTCTGAACAGAATAAGGTAATTCAATCAGCTACATCTTATACATGATCACAGGCATGGAGGTGTCATAGAAACACCTCTACAAATCTTGGAAATGTTCATGCAGATAAGACAGGGCAGCTGGCAAATTAATTTCCAAATTATATTAGAGAACTTAAAAATAGGCTGGGTGTGAATGGCTTATGCCTATAATCCCAACACTTTGGGAGGCTGAAGCAAGAGGATTGCTTGAGGCCAGGAGACCAGCCTGAGCAACATAGGGAGAACCTGTCTCTACAAAAATTTTTTTTAAGTGTGCTGAGTGTGGTGGCACATGCCTGTGGTCCCAGCTACTCAGGAGGCTGAGGTGGGAGGATCGTTTGAGCTGAGGTATTCAAGGCTGCAGTGAGCCACAATTGCACCACTTCACTCCAGCCTGAGCAATAGACCTGTCTCAAAAAAAAAAAAAAAAGATTTCATGACTTTATTCAAACCAACAATGATGAACAGTGAGGATTACATTAAATGAGAAGCAGTTAGGGGCTGGTTTATGGTCTTGACCTCCATTCCTTCTCCACGAGTGCAGCCCATGACCCAGTGATGATTTCCCCTTCCCTGCATTGCATTGGCACTGACTTAGTTTCTAGACCAGAATCCTGTTTTCCAGACAAAAGCCCTGCTCCATCTCCCAGCACACTTCCTTCCCTTGCAGGCTATGCCTTCTAGACTGAAATGGAAAATACTCACCTTATTTTTCCCTTGTTGCTGGGACAACAGGTGCAGGGTGATGCTCAGGACAGCCAGTGGGTGAGTGCGTGGAGGGAGGCATCCAGGTCTCAGATATGGGTTTGTGTCCTGTGACCTCACCTTTTCACATCACTGCAATGAGCAGTTCACCTGTGGCAACAATGACAGTGCACATTTGGGGAGCTAAAGATATTTCAATAAACTTTGTCCCAGTTACCAATTACCAAAAACAAGTACAATTTTCTGTGAAGGGGGCCAGCCCCTCCACACCTGTGGTTGTTTCTCATCCGATGGAACGAGAGACTGAGAAAAGAAAGAGACACAGAGACAAAGTATAGAGAAAGAAACGTGGGCCCAGGGGACCAGCACTCAGCATACGGAGGACCCGTGCCAGCACCAGTCTCTGAGTTCCCTCAGTATGTATTGATCATTATCTCTACCATCTCGGAGAGGTGGATGTGGCAGGACAATAGGGTAATAGTGGGGAGAGGGTCAGCAGGAAAACATGTGAACAAAGGTCTCTGTGTCATGAGCAAGGTTAAGAAAAGGTGCTGTGCTTTGATGTGCACATACACAAACATCTCGGTGCATTAAAGAGCAGTATTGCCACCAGCATGTCTCATCTCCAGCCCTAAGGTGGTTTTCTCCTATCTCAGTAGATGGAACATACAATCGGGTTTTACACCGAGACATTCCATTGCCCAGGGACGAGCAGGAGACAGATGCCTTCCTCTTGTCTCAACTGCAAAGAGGCCTTCCTCTTTCACTAATCCTCCTCAGCACAGACCCTTTACGGGTGTTGGGCTGGGGGATGGTCAGGTCTTTCCCTTCCCACGAGGCCATGTCTCAGGTTATCACATGGGGAGAAACCTTGGACAATACCTGGCTTTCCTAGGCAGAGGCCCCTGCAGCCTTCCACAGTGTATTGTGTCCCTGGGTACTTGAGATTAGAGAGTAGTGATGACTTTTAACAAGCATACTGCCTTCAAGCACTTGTTTAACAAAGCACATCCTGCATAGCCCTAAATCCATTAAACCTTGAGTCAACACAGCACATGTCTCTGCAAGCACAGGGTTGGGGCTAGGGTTACAGATTTAACAGCATCTCAAGGCAGAAGAATTTTTCTTAGTACAGAACAAAATGGAGTCTCTTATGTCTACTTCTTTCTACATAGACACAGTAACAGTCTGATCTCTCTTTCTTTTCCCCACATTCTAGTGGGCATCTCTAGCAAGATGAGAGTGTTTGGCAGAGGCTGTTGCTTTCCATAATCCCTGGAGGCAACAGGAAGGGGCTCCTAGGGAGGGAGCAGGAAGGGGTGAGTCTAGACTAGGGGCTGGCAGCAGAGTGCACATGTTTTACTGGAGTCTGTGCTTTCCTGAGATGGTCCCCTACAGAAAACCCAATTTTCTGTTAATCCTCAGATTCCTGAGCCAAACTATTATTTCACTGTGAACGGAGAGACGGGATCATGCGAGGAACTTGAGAAGGATATGTGAACAGATTACAGTGCAAACAGCAACTTGAAGTCAAATACTGATATGAAAAATAAATGGGAACAATGTTGGGCATTCCAATGTAAATTAATCAAATGTAGATGTTATATATTCTATAAATATATATTTTATTAACGTTTACCCCTAGAGAGATAGAGATTCTAAATTGTACAATATTTATAAAAGAAAAAGAGACATTTATCAGAGTCCCTCAAATACACAGAAGCACCAAGTTCATATGATCCAGAGAGAAATTCTACTAGTAAACTAACTGATAACCTGACGCTACCTAAACTATTCAAGTCTTAGTCAATCTTCCCAATAGTTTTCAGGAAGGGTGCATAAAGGTGATATGAGATCTTACCCTGGTTTGAGCCATGTATTACAAAAGTATAGGACATGTGAATATAAATGTAGACTTTTTAAATATTAGAAGCCATTGTGTCAGCACTAGAAGCCACTGTGTGAGCACATTGCAACATTACATCATAATCCCACTGCCTTTTGTGCCAGAAATGCAAGTGAGAGTCAACACTTGGAAATCCATTAATGTAATAAATTATGTTAACAGAATCAATCAGAATGTTATGTGTTCATGTTCATAGATTTAAAAAAAGACATTGCCAGGATTATGCAGAAAATCATATTTAAAAAATTGATAAGGAACTAGTGTAAAATATATACATATTTTTAGACAGGGTCTTGCTCTGTCACCCTGGCAAGAGTGCAGTGGTGCAATCATAGTTCACTGTAGCCTCGGCCTCCTGGGCTCAAGTGATCCTCTCACCACAGCCTCCCCAGCAGCTGGGACTATAGGCACATGCCAGCACACCCGGCTAATTTTTTGTTTTTTTTTTGTATCTCGTAGAGACAGGGTCTCACTATGTAGCCCAGGCCAGTCCTGAACTCCCGGCCTCAGTGGATCCTACTGCCTCAGCCTCCCAAATTACATGCATGAGCCACTGCACCTGGCCCTAAATGTTTCTTGAAAGCAAAATCTACTTTCTATAGAGGTGGGCCTGAGTCAACCCTTTCGAAGCCATTAGGGGCCAGGTGTGGTGGCTCATGCCTGCAATTACAGCACTTTGGAAGGCCGAGGCGGGTGGAACACCTGAGGTCAGGAGTTCCAGACCAGTCTGACCAACATGGGAAAACCCCTTCTCTAGAAAAAATACAAAAATTAGTTGGGCATGGTGGGCACGCCTGTAGTCCCAGCTCCTCAGGAGGCTGAGACAGGAGAATTACTTGAATCTGGGAGGTAGAGGTTGCAGTAAGCCGAGATTATGCCATTGCACTCCACCCTGAGCAACAGAGCAAGATTCTGTCTAAAAAACAAAAGCAAAAACAAACAAACAAAAAAAATTAAAAAGCTATTAGGACAGTCTTGGAAGAAAAAGTCTTGGAAGGAAAAGTCTGTTGGGTAAGGATTAATTAACCAGTACACAGGCAGGCAAGGTGACCCCTAGTGGTCAGCTAGTCTCAGAAAAAAATTTATGCATCTAGGGAAAAATTGGTCACAACTAGGCAATTAGATCACAGCCTGCCCATCAAGTAAAACAAAATTCTGTGTCAAACACATTGTAACACAGAACACTGGTACAAATCTTAAACATTCCCTGATAGGCATCGTAGAGTTTTTTGGTTTGTTCTGTTTTTTTTGTTTTGTTTTTTGCTCCCTAGAGATTAATAAGCAGAATGGGACCCTCAAATTTCAAAGCATGCAATAATGGTCCCCCCACTACTGGGACCCCTGCTAGTTACATGTTTAAAAATTAATTGATAACTGATTTTGGCCAGGCGCAGTGACTCACGCCTGTAATCCCAGCACTTTGGGAGGCCAAGGCAGGCAGATCATCTGAGGTCAGGAGTTCAAGACCAGCCTGGCCAACATGTTAAAACCCCAACTCTACTAGTGGCGGCTCAGGCCTGGAATCCCAGCTACTCTCGAGGCTGAGGCAGGAGAATCACTTGAATCCGGGAGGCAGAGGTTGCAGTGAGCTGAGATCACACCACTGCACTCCAGCCTGGGTGACAAGAGCAAAACTCTGTCAAAAAGAAGAAAGAAAGAAAGAGAAAAAGAGAAAAAAATTAAGGTCCTCTCTGATGCATGTTTTAATTTGTATTTGTATAAATTTAAGGGGTACGAGTGTAGTTTTGTTACACGAACATACTGGGTAGTGGTGAAGTCTGGACTCGTAGTGTAAACATTCCCTGAAGAGTGCACATTATATCCACTATGAAATTTCTCAACCCTCACCCCTCTGACTCACACACCCTTCTGAGCCTCCAATGACTATTATTCCACTCTGTGTCCATGAGTATGTGTTATTTAGCTCCTATTTATAAGTGAGAACATGCAGTATTTGACTTTCTGTTTCTGTTATTTTACTTAAGATAATGACCTTCATTTCCATCCATGTTGCTGCAAAAGACATAATTTCATTCTTTTTAAAATTTTGAAGTTTATTTTAGACATAGGGATACATGTGCAGATTTGTTACATGAGAATATTGTGGATTTTGTTGTTTTTATGGCTGAATAGTATTCCACTGTATGCATACCACATTTTCTTTAGCCAATCATCTATTGATGGACACTTAGATTGATTTCATATCTTTGCTATCATAAAGATATGGAATACAGCAATCCTGCTACTGAATATATACATAAAGGAGACATACTATATAAAAAAGATATCTGCACTTGTATGCTTAGAGCAGCACTTAGGTTGATTCCATATCTCAAAGATATAATATTTCTCTTTTATCTATATATCCAGTAGCAGGATGCTGGATCCAGCCTGGGTGACAAGAGCAAGACTCTGTCTGAGAAAAAAAAAAAAAGAATGAAAGATAGAACCTCACAACAGATTCAACAGAAATTTTAAAGGAATTTAAGATATTATGAGGAACAACAAATGTCAACAAGTTTAGCAACATAAATGAAATAAGCAAATTCCGATAAAGACATTAAGTAGCAAAATTGACTAAAGAACAAATAGAAAATCTTAATAGATGTATATAAAGTAAAAAAAAATTGAATTAGTAATTAAATATATTCCCCCTGAAGAAGAGTGTAGTGCTAGATGCCTTAACCCATGAATTCCATTTAACATTTAAGGAGGAAAGTATACCAGTCATACACAAACATTTCCAGCAAATACAGAAGAGAGGATATGCCAAAACATTTTAGAAAGCCAGTATTAGCTTGATACCAAAGCAGGATGGAGACATCAGAAGAAAAGGAAAGTGCCAAACAATATCTCTCATAAGTTTACGTCCAAATGTATTTAACAACCTGGATGCAAATTACATCCAACAGTATGTAAAACGATCATACACTACATGTCTCTGGAATTAATACTAGTAATGCAAATTTGGCTTACTATCTAAAACACAACGAACATTGTACATCATATAAATAAAGTAGAAAATCAATAGAATCATGTCAAAAGACATAAAAGAATTTTGGCAAAATCCAACAATAATTCCTGATAACTCACAACAAACATGCAGAAAAAAAATAAGTGACAAAACTAACATAAAGGACAGAAGAGAGTAATTGGAATTATACCATTTTAAGGCTCTTGTCTTTAACAAAAGTGTTAAAATATTAATTCAGGCTGGGCGCGGTGGCTCACGCCTCTGATCCCAGCACTTTGGGAGGCCAAGATGGAGGGATCATGAGGTCAGGAGATCAAGACAATCCTGGCTAACATGGTGAAACCCCGTCTCTACTAAAAATACAAAAAATTAGCCGGGCATGGTGGTGGGCGCCTGTAGTCCCAGCTACTCGGGAGGCTGAG
This sequence comes from Homo sapiens, assembly GCF_000001405.40. Classification (NCBI taxonomy): domain Eukaryota; kingdom Metazoa; phylum Chordata; class Mammalia; order Primates; family Hominidae; genus Homo; species Homo sapiens. The sequence continues at coordinate 33,519,926 of NC_000009.12, forward strand.
GCAGGAGAATCGCACGAACCCAGGAGGTGGAGCTTGCAGTGAGCCAAGATTGTGCCACTGCACTCCAGCCTGGGCGACAGAGTGAGACTCCATTTCAAAAAAAAAAAAAAAAAATATATATATATATATATATATATGTATATAAATTCAAGGTAGACTGTGATAAAGATACATATTGTAATTTTTTTTTTTTTTTGAGACGGAGTCTCGCTCTGTCACCCAGGCTGGAGTGCAGTGGCGTGATCTCGGCTCACTGCAATCTCCACCTCCTGGGTTCAAGCGATTCTCATGCCTCAGCCTCCCAAGTAGCTGGGATTACAGGAGCACGCCACCACACCTGGATTGGTTTGTATTTTTAGCAGAGACAGGGTTTCACCATATTGGCCAGGGTGGTCTTGAACTTTGGGCCTCATGTGATCTGCAGGCCTCGGCCTCCCAAAGTGCTGGGATTACAGGTGTGAGCCACAATACATCCGGCCTATGTATTGTAATCTTTCAACTAACAATTTAAAAAATTGAAACAAACAGATATAGCTAAAAAGCCAGCAGAAGAGAGAAAACAGAAGACTAAAAAATAATCACACTAAAGAAAGAATCAAGAAAAAAAGAAACAGAGACAGAAAACAGATAGCAACAGGGTACACTTAAATCTAGTCATTTCAACCATTACATTAAATATAAAAGGGCCCAGCCTTCATAGCTCACGCGTGTAACCCCAGCACTCTGGGAGCTGAGGTGGGAAGATGACTTGAGACCAGGAGTTTGAGACCAGCCCTGGCAACATAGTGAGATCCTGTGTCTGCAAAAAAAAAATTTAAATAATAAAAAATTAGCCAGGCACAGTGCCATATCCCTGCGTTCCTAGCTACTCAGGAGGCTGAGGTGAGAGGATCCTTTGACTCTAGGAGTTCAAAGTTGCAATGAGCTATGATCATGCCACTGCAGCCCAGCCTGTGTGACCGAGCCAGACCCTGTTTCTAATACATAAATATAGAAGGACTGGATATCTCAATTTCAAAGTTCAGATTTTCAGATGAGATTAAACAGTAAATAAATAAACAAGACCCAACACTATGCTGCTCACAAGAACCACATTTTAGATACAGACACAACATTTAGGCAAAAGTATAGATGTAAATGTGCCATGCAAATACTAATCCTAAAAGAGTTGGTGTGCCCATATTAATATTAGATAAAGTCTTCAGAACAGGAGTACTGCCAAAGATAAAGGTGTCGAGTCATAATCAAAATAGGCCAGTTCATAAAATTAACAATCTTAAATGGGTGAACCTAGTGAAACTTCAAAATGTGTGAAACAGACATCAACAGAGTAAAGGTGACGATCATCAGATCTGCTTTTCAAGTGTATGTGGAACATTAATCAAGATAGATTAAATACTGGACCATAAAATAATTCTCAATAAATATAAAAGGATTTAAATCATAAATCAAAATTTTGCTCAGAGTTTGTACTCTGAGCAAAATAGGACTACATTAAGTCAATAACAAAAATATATTCAGAAAAACCTTAATATTTGGCAATTGAGCAAATAACTTTTAAATAAAAATGGATATAGGAATAATTCTCAGATCTATATTTAAATTTTTAAATTGTGTTAAAATTTTAAATTTAAGTATATAATTCAGCAGCATTAAGTACATTCCCAGTTTTGTATAACCAGCATCTTCATTTCTATCACAAACAGAAATAAAGTACCCATTAAACAATAACTCAGCCTTGCTCCCTCTCCCCAGTCTCTGGGAAACACTAATCTTCATTCTATTTTCACAAATTTGCCTATTCTAGATATTTCATATCAGTGGAATAATAGAACATCTGTCCTTTCGTGTCTGGCTTACTTCACTCAGCATCATGTTTCCAAGTTTCACCCATGTTGCATGTATCAGAACTTCATCCTCTTTAATGGCTGAATAATATTCTATTATTTATGTATCATATTTTGTGTATCCATTCATTTGTTGATGGACACGGGTTGTCTCTGCCTTTTGGCTATAACAAATAATGCTGCAATTAACTTCGGTGTAAAAATATCTGTTCCAGACCCTGCTGCCAATTTTTTGTGTGTGAATAATGCCTAGGAGTGGAATTTCTGGTTCTCCGTGTGATTCTGTGAGGAACCACCAAATTGTTTTCCACAGCAAGTGCATCATTTTCTATTCCTAGCAGCCAGTTCACGAGGGCTCCAATTTCTCCACCTCCTTAGCAACATTTATTTTCTGTGTCGTTGTTATGAAAGCCTTACTAGTGGATGCAAAGTGGCATCTCATTTTGGTTTTGTCTTGCATTTTATTAATGAATAACAAATAATCGCTTTTGATTACTAATTCAGTCTCCTAGGTTATAGGTCTATTCAGATTTTCTCTTTTTTCTGGAGCCACTTTGGTAGTTTATGTCTTTCTAGTGATTTGTCCATTTCATCCAGGGCACCTAATTTGTTGTTGGACAGTTGTTCACAGTATACTCCTGTAATCCTTTTGTATTTCTGTAAAGTTGGTAGTAATGGCTCTGCTTTCATTTATTATTTTAATAATTAGTCTTCCATCTTTTGCTCAGTCAATATAGTGAAAGGCTTGATCTTTCAAAGAATCTATGTTTATTTATTCTACTGCTCTCCAACCTTTTATTTTATTGATTTATGCTCTAATTATGCTCTTTATTATTTCTTTCCTTCTGCTAGCTTTGGATTTAGTCTTTTTTTGTTTTCTTCCACTGCCTTTAGGTATAGAGTGCGGATATTGATTTGAGATTTTTTCTTAAAATGTAGTTGTTTATATCCATACATTTTCCTTTGAACTCTACTTTCACTGCATTCAATAAGTTTTGGTATGTTTTGTTTTTATTTTAATTTGTCTCAAGATATTTTATAATTTTGCTTGTAATTTATTTTTTCACTCACTGGTAGTTGAAGACTGTATTGTTTAATTTCCACATTTTCATGAATTTTCCAGTTTTCACTTATTTATCTGTTGTTTCTTCCATTGTGGTTGTAAATTATATTTTGTATGATTTCAAACTTTTAAAAATGATTAGGACATATTTTGTGGATGAAGATATGGCCTATCCTAGAGAAAGTTCCACATAACTTGAAAAGAATGTATATTCTGCTGTTGTTGGGATGGACTGTTCTGTATATGTGTATTAGCTCTCAGTGGCTTCTACTGTTGTTTAAGTCTTGTATTTCTCATGAAGCTTCTGTCTGGTTTTTCTATCCATTAATTAAAATGAGGTATTGAAGTGTCCAACTGTGACTATAGAACTGTGGGTTTATCCTTTCAATCCTGTTAATTATTTCAGCTTTACTGAGGTGTAATAGAGAAATAAAAATTGTACATGTGATGCGTTTATATGCACATTCTGAAATGATTACCAAAATGAAGTCAATGAACATGTTAATTACCTCACAGAATAGTTACCTTTTCGTGTGCATGCGTGGGATAAGAAAACTTAACTCTATCCCCTGTGACTGCAGAGTGGCCATTTCAGCTGCTCCAGGCTCAGGCAGAGGAAGACCAGGGCAGGTGGCACCACCAGGGGGGCCCTCAGGCCTGGCGCGCACGCATTCCAGAGGCCACCCAGACCATGCTCCGCTGCCTGGGCGCCCAAGCTGCAGTCGCCCTCTGTGTGCAGGCAGCAGCCTCTAGGCAACTCCTGGGCCCGCCCGCACTCCCCACATCTCGGAAGCAGGGCCAGATGTCCCTGTGGCTGCGGCCGAGCCAGGCGGTCTGCCCTGCAGCAGCTGCACGGGGGCGGGAACCGGCCCTCAGCCCCATCCCCGGTGGCTGCAGAGGGCCCCTGGCTAGAGGTCTCGAGCTCTGGCAGAGGAGGAGCCGGGAGGGGGCAGGGTCTGGCGGGCTCTCAGGCCAGGGGCACCCGCGATCCAGAGGCCGCCCAGGCCATGCTCCACCACCTGGGCGCCCAGCTACAGGCGCCGGGCAACTCCCAAGCTGGCTGGCGCGCCCAGCCTCGCAGAACCGGGGCTAGATGTCGCCGTGGCTGCGGCCAAGCCAGGCGGTCTGCCCGGCGGCGGCTGCACCGGGGCAGGAACCGACCCTCAGCCCCATCCCCGCGGACGGTCCCTGGAGCGGCCCCGATCTCTCTTCGGAGAAGAGGGGCGGGAGTCACGGCCAGGCGGGAAGGGATGCGCGCCTGAGATTCCGGAACGTCCCGCGCCAGCCCAGGAGAACCCGCAAGCCAGCGGCGCCTGAGCCCGAGCTGCAGTCACCCTCTGCGGGCCACGCGAGCTCGAGGGCGCCTTCCGGAGTCCGGGCTGGCGCTGAGCTGTAGGCGCGCGCCTAACCGCTTTACTGGGCTCACTCTATCGAGAGGTCGGAGGCTGCGAGTGTCGCTGCTGAAGGCTGTAGTGGACCGGGCTGGATCGCGGATTCTGAGCTACATCGCGGGTTTGGGGGTGCATCTTGGATTTAGGGGTGGATCGCTGGGTGGGGAGGGGGATCTCGAATTTGGAGCTGGGTGGGGGTGGAAAGGCCACGAGGAGCCGCGGCGTCTCAGGAGCGGGTGGTGGGCATCTGAGAAGTCGCCACCATGAGGAAGCTCCTCAGTTTTGGGAGACGCCTGGGCCAGGCGCTCCTGAGCTCCATGGACCAAGAGTATGCGGGTCGGGGGTACCACATTCGGGACTGGGAACTGCGGAAGATCCACAGGGCGGCCATCAAGGGCGACGCCGCAGAGGTGGAGCACTGCCTGACGCGCAGGTTCCGGGACTTGGACGTCCGCGACAGAAAAGACAGGTAGCGGGGGCTCAGCCCTCGGTGGGAGGGGGCCCCCAGGCCCGGTTTCCCCGCACCGCCTGAGGCGGGGTCGTCGGAGTTCGCCGGGACCCTGGGAGCCGCGGAGCCAAATGGAGCCTCAGCTGCTTTCCATCGCTGGGAATTTCCCGCCTGTAGCGCTTGGTGGATAATTGGAGTGATTTAACTCACAAAGTTAAGCATATCTACGTTTAAAACATGGAGCCATATACATGATAGGGAGGTGCCTAATGAGAACTCATTCCCATGTCAAAAATACCATGAGCCATTTTCAGTAGGCGAAGAGTTCTCAGATAAAACCCTGTGTCGGTTTTACATCCAAATCCACCTAGGTAGATAGGTTCTTTACTGGGGCTTCTTAGAGGGACACTTGGAAGTGGGAGGTGGGTTCCTTGAATGAGAAGACTCAGTTTTCTCAAAATGTGAGCTCTTAATATGTTTATCAGTTTTACATAAACCGAATGAAAATATCAAGGTTTTATCATTTTTGCATGACACTTGCTGTCTGTCTTACCATTGTGATGACATTTTAAAATGTTTATGATGGAGTGAAAAACGACTTGCTCCTCTAGATATCAAAACGTGCTATTAATTCCCACAATTAATTATTTACTAACAGCTACAAACACATATAAATAAATGGAACAGAATAGGAAATCCAAAAACACTGAAATATATGTAAGATATATACATAGGGATTGATAATGGTAACATTTCAGATGAGTAGGAAAGGACGAGTTATTAATAAAATGCCTGCTGTGTGAAGAAAACTAATGAAATTTTATGTCACAAAAATGAGTTCCTGATGGAATACAGACTGAAATTTTTACATATGCAAAATTAGAAAAATACCAGAAGAAAACACAAAGACTTATTTATACAGGTACATTTTACGTTAACAGTGGCCTTCCTAAGAATGACCTCACAAGCAGGCATTCTGAAGGTTGATTTAGCAAACTAAAATTAAAATCCCCTGTGTATCAGAAAAAAATTAACAAAAGATAACACACTTGAAAAATATTTACTATATATATTTTTACTAATATATAAAAATATATATTCAGATGAAAAGTGTATCTTCATCCTACAGGGAATTTATTCTTTATTAAATATAATATATATATTACTGATTATATGTATAACAAATTGTATATATTAGTAACATAATGTTATATATATCAGTTATACATATATACAGATAAAAAGCACATCTTTATTTTACAGGGAATTCTTTCCAATCAAATCCACAAGAAAAGAACTCTAACAGTGAGCAAAGTACTTTTTGCAGATCCACAAGTTACTTATTTACATAGGAAAAAATCCTTAGTGTTTCTCCTAAGAGAATTTAAGTTAAAAGAGGAATGAGACTGTTTTCTATCCACAGTGTTTGTGAGAATAAAGAGCAGTGGCACTTACACTGCTGCTTGAAGTGTAAGTTGCTGATGACTTTTCAAGTGGATAATTTGGAGATAATTACCACATTTTAAAAATGTATATGCCCTTTACCCATCAACTCCATTGTATTAAAATACCTTCAGAAAATACAGATACATGCACTTTTTTTCCCCAGCATTTATGTTAACAAGAACCCATAGAATGGGTATGTGGCCATTGAAGGTGGCAATAGGTGGAGAAGTATGTTGATATGTGAAGATGCATTTTGTTACAGCCAGTGAGGAAAAACAAATCAGTTTGCTTGCACATACACACAAACATACTATGGTCTTGTGTTAGGCAAAACTATGCACAAAATAGGATAAAATTTGTAACTTCTGAGCATTTGTATTTTAAAGTTTTTTGTTCCTTTTTCTTACCTTTGATTTCTGAAGTGAGCATTTATAAAATTTCTAGTAAAAATTTATTATTAATGGAATAAATTTTGGGAAGAGAGAAATGTGAATCTTGTACAGATAAAAATAATTTCTCACTATTTTTTATCATTATTGTGAGGGTTGTTATCTTGTTTGAACTTTTAGCTTCTTCAGAAGTAAAAAGGGAATCTTTTTATCTGTGCTTGCAGATTTTATGTATATACTTTATTATGTATATATGTTTTTCTTATGTATAGATTCATTACATATAGGCAAACTGATAGATTAATCATTTCATTATAGTTGTCTTATCAAAATAACAAATAGCAAATATTATTACTATCACAAAAATATTGGTTTATAGAAGTTGTATTTAAAAATTTTGAGCTCCCCAACTGTATTCTATCAATCCATTTATTCATCAAACATAACCTGAATATGTTATGTAGCAGACATTTTGCACTATCTCTCAGGATGCTTCCATACTTAAAAACTTTATGTTTACCTGTTCTGCCTGAGCAAGATGAGAGATTTAAAATGGGAATAGTAGGACTTAATCTCATTGAAGCTTTTTCTCCCACCTTTCAAGCAAAAGCATTTCTGAAGGTAGAAAACAATAAGAGATAACCTTTAACTGCCCTTTTGAAAATTTATCAGTCTTAAATACTAATATTAATCATTGGAAAGTCTGATTTGCATATATTCTGTAAATCTTAAGTGTTGACTAAAATGAGCCATACCTATTCATCTCAATCATGAGTTTCCTTTAGCTTCATGTTTCTTTTTTTGTTTGTTTGTTTGTTTGTTTTCTTTTTGCGACAGAGTCTCACTCTGTCGCCTAGGCTGGAGTGCAGTGGCGTGATCTCAGCTCACTGCAACCTCTGCTGCCAAGGTTCAAGCGATTATCCTGCCTCAGCCTCCCGAGTAGCTGGGATTACAGGTGCCTGCCACCACGCCCAGCTAATTTTTGTAGTTTTAGTAGAGACAGAGTTTCACCATGTTGGTCAGGCTGGTCTTGAACTCCTGACCTAGAGATCCACCCGCCTTGGCCTCCCAAAATGCTGGGATTACAGGCGTGAGCCACCGCGCCCGGCCAGCTGCATGTTTTTAAAAATCAAAGTAAGAAGTAATTTGTTTAAAAAATATGTTGTTATTTCAGTGCTCTTTCCCCATGGTACTTTTAGGAATTAAAATGTATTTAAGTGTCAGTTAGATGCCTAGAACGGCCCTAGACCTGCTGTGTATACAGTATTCTACTTAATGTAAGGCCTCATGGATTGTGTGATATCCTACTATTTTCTACATTAATGAGATGATTTTTAAATGCTACCAATTATAGTTATAAAAAATTATGAATTGTAAATACCGCTCCAATATGAGATATGCTAAAATGTGACCTAATCTTTAAATCATCCTGCAAAATAGCAATAATTGTATCATTTTACTTAATTAAAATGTTTTTGTTAAATAGTAGTAATATAATTATAACGTCTGGCTGGGTGCGTGGCTCACACCTGTCATTCTAGAACTTTGGAAGGCTGAGGTGGGAAGTTCCCATGATGCTAGGAGTTTGAGACCAGCCTGGGCAACAAGGTGACATTCCTACTCTACAAAAAAAATTTAAAAATTAGCTGATCATGCTGGTGCACTCCTGTGGTCCCAGCTATTCAGGAGGCTGGGGCAGGAGGTTTGTTTGAGCCTACAAGTGCCAGGCTGCAGTGAGGCATAAATACACCATTGCACTCCAGCCTGGGCAAGAGAGCAAGACCCTGTCTCAACAAACAAAAGTCTAACAGTTATTGAGTTGTTGCTTGTTCTGGAAACAGTTCTAAATGCTTTATGAAGATTTTCATTTAAGCATCACAGTGGTGTCCTGTGAGCTAGCTGCTGTTGTCATCTTTATTAATGAGGAAATTCAGGCACAGAAAGGCTAAGCAATAGCTGGTAGGTGACCGAGTTCAAAGTAGAACTCAAGCCCTAGTTAAGCTGAATCCAAACACCAAGCTCATTCTATCCAAATAGGCTGCTGTTTCATTAAGGTAGGGAGCAGTAAGAGCTAATAAATATTGTACTTTCTTCAAAAGAAAATTATTTGTTTTGAAGGCAGAGGAATAATGCCATTCAATGTTTACAATGACATGAACCATTGTAGGTTTTGAGATATTGCACTACATTTCCTGAAAACCCCTCTCGCTCTCCTAGGACTGTTCTACATTTGGCCTGTGCCCATGGCCGTGTGCAAGTGGTCACTCTCTTGCTGGACAGAAAATGCCAGATCAACATCTGTGACAGACTAAACAGGACACCTTTAATGAAGGTATATAGTAGCCAACTCAGCATGAAATGGATTTGATTTAAATACATAGAATTAAAATGAATTTGTCTCATTTAAATATAGCTAGTTGGTGAAACCTGTGGAATATGTATTTTGAATTCTTAGAATTTATAGTCTAGTTTTTTATCTAACACTAATAGGCTGTACACTGCCAGGAAGAGGCTTGTGCCATTATTCTCCTGAAACGTGGCGCCAATCCAAACATTAAGGATATCTACGGCAACACTGCTCTCCATTATGCCGTGTATAATGAGGGGACTTCACTGGCAGAAAGACTGCTTTCCCACCATGCAAATATTGAAGCACTAAACAAGGTACAGATCAATCAACTTTCTTTTCAAAATGTTTGTTTTAATATTGACATAGGTAAGAGTCAATTTTTCATATTTGGAACTCAAGTATTCCTGAATGAAAATGTTTTGAAATAACTTAATTGTCTAAAATTTTACTTTAAATGTTGATACTTTTAAAGGAGCATTAGAGGGCACAGCTATTTTAGTGCACTTATGGGAAGTATTTGTGAATTTGTTAAGGTAAAACTTCTTCTTTTCAAGTATTTGTTTCCTACCCCAGGTGTATTTTTTTTCTAATTAGTGTGAAAACATCACAGGAAAAAAATTGCCCTGGAAATAGGCTTTATCTTAAAACTCAAAACTAAAGCAACTTACAATAAATAGAAGTATTGCTGCTGATGGTTTTCTAACAAAATGGATGTATCTTTCATGGGCAAGGTTTAAGACGGAAAAATAGGAAGGGAAAAGGAGAGCAATCAAAAACATGCAGGTCACTTGGAAATTAGGTAATGAGGGAAAATGCCAAGAATAGGTTTTGTTTTTTAGTTTGTTGTTTTTCCAGTTTATGTATTGAGACAAAGCGCTCTTCAGCTTTGGGGTAATCATTTTTGGTTTGGTAAAAAGAGTGACTGAAACTTGCCTAAAGATTAATTTTTAGAGGACTCTGAGGAAAACAGATTGGCAGTGAATATACGGTGATGAAGTGAGAAACACTTCAGCAAAGGGTGGAACAAATTAGTAACTGATTTATTACCCATCCCGGCAAAAACAGCCACTTAGATAAGAGTCTAAACTCTCCTTTCAAATCTAGAATATCTTGATGGGAATGTGGGAGATAAGCAGCTTATAAATAGCAAAATCAACTGGGATTTTGAGTTTACTTGTCCCTGTTATACCCACACCCAGGAAAATTAATTGGAGTTTTAATACATAACTCTATCTCATACTCTTCTCTCTGGCCACATCCCAAGTTGATAAAGGATATTGGCCATGTGGGTGAGAGATGAAACTGAAGTGATTGTCTGCTGCAGTATTTCTCAGCTAGGATTGTGCATTACAATGACCTGGGGAAATTTTGTTAAAAGTCTACAAGTGTAGGCTTTCCCCTGAGGATTTTGATGTAATAGATCTAATAAGTTCTGAACATGTATGGTTAAAAATATTTTCTTGAAGCCATGCACAGTGGCATGTTCCTGTAGTCCCAGCTACTCAGGAGGCTGAGGTGGGAGGATTGCTTGAGCCTAGGAGTTTGAGTCCAGCCTGAGGCGGGCAGATCACGAGGTCAGGAGATGGAGACCATCCTGGCTAACACGGTGAAACCCCGTCTCTACTAAAAATACATAGTAAGACTCTTGTCTCTTACCACAACAAGAGCAAAAAAAAAAAAAAAAAAAAACCTCAGTGTTCGAATACACTCCTGATTAAGAAGCACAGAATAGATAAGTGCAGGATATAAATTCCCGTATCTCAAAGACATAAGAAATCTCTAAAAGAGTTGGCATTTGATAGGTGCTACTTTCTTCAAAGTTCTCTTTTCCAATAACATTAAACTGACTTATCTGTCTTTCTCTACGTTTGTGACTGGGAAGTGAAAGGAAATATCATTGGCAATATCACTCAGCTTACAGAATGACACTTTTTGCTTCCCACCATGAATCATTCACTGCCATTCAGAAAGTCTTTAGCAATTTACTTGTGGGTAATCTTTCAATAAGTAGAGGCTGACCCTTTCACAATTTCATGTTCCTTTGTCACCATTCAAGTGATTATGTATCAACAAATGTTCATTACAAGTGAGATTTTCTCAGTTAGATCAGTAGCAAATCTTGAACCTTTTTTTTTCAGTTGCAGTTGTATTAGGGACTATCTCAGTATGTCTGTTAAGGTTATAGAGCTTTGGCATTATCGGGATGTCAGTTTTAAACACTGAAATCCTTGAAGTCAGTGAGAATGCAATAGGAATTCTTTTAATAATTTAGTTTCAGCATTCCTATGAACTAATTGTCTATTTGGTTAACAATCTGGGAAAATTATATACACATAGATTGCAAATGAATAAATGTTGGGAAAATTCTTGAGGTGGGTATTATGAGTGTTAACAGCAATTTTTATTATGTATATATCAGGGCCTGAGTTTTTTTATTAAACATACGATACTAGACAGAGAAAAAGTTCCACATGCAAATACTTGGTTTATACACAATCATTTAGCAACACATTCATAGCAAATATAAAAACACAAGAGCTATAGTCTAAATGTGGTGTATAGATTTGTTCTTTGCCTCTTTGAATTGAGTCAACATGTAAACTTTAGTGGACTCATGCAGAAGTCTGGACCTCAGGCTTAAGAAACAAATCTGGTGTCCCCAGAACCACATCACTGCTTGGTCTGCTGCGCAGAGGTTGCCCTGGGTAGGAGGCACATATTCTCCAGTTTGCTACTGTGCCCACCTGAGTACTTCACTTACTTAGGTAACCTCCTTCATCCTTATAAGTATTTGAGTTTACAACTCCTTTTTTATAGTATATTTTCATAAAGATTTCAAGGTTTTCAAGACAGCATATATTGGTTCATAATATATAGTCTATAGTTTATATAAATCCCTCAATTATAGAGTTGAATTTTAGAATTCAGAAGTTTTTTTAACTCTTTTTTTATATCTATACCACAAATAGTCATCTGCTCATAAGAATGCCTAGAAGCCCTTTTAGGTTATTCCTGCTGAGAAGTGGATAGATTATGAATATTGCAGACATTATATCTTTCTTCTCAGCAATGTCCCTTAAAAATGCAAGTGACAGCTGGATGCGATGGCTCATGCTTGTAATCTCAGCACTTTGGGAGGCCGAGGAGGGCAGATCACGAGGTCAGGAGATGGAGACCATCCTGGCTAACACGGTGAAACCCTAACTCTACTAAAAATACAAAAAATTAGCCAGGTGTGGTGGCAGGTGCCTGTAGTTCCAGCTATTTGGGAGGCTGAGGCAGGAGAATGGCATGAACTCGGGAGGTGGAGCTTGCAGTGAGCAGAGATCATGCCACTGCACTCCAGCCTGGGCGACAGTGTGAGACCCCATTTCCAAAAAAAAAGAAAAAAAGTGCAAGTGACTTATTGGCTCTTATTATGCTAGAAACAAGCCCTATACATCAGTATTAGAACTTTTTTTGATAAGCCATTGTATTTTTATTTCTGATTTATATTTTGCCTAAAGTAAAAAAATAATGTTAAATAGCAATTTAAATGGAAATCAATACAAATGGATTTAAAAAGTAAAGTTGCATTAATGTCCCAGGATTATCATTATAATTGAGAATAGAATTTCTTACTGAGCTTTGCTTTTTAATATTTATTTTCAAAAAATTTTCACTGGTCTCTCTTACACAGAATATACTGAGCTTTCTAATAGTTAAGATAAAAATCTATCCTCTTGCATTAGGAGAAATCCCATGGAGTATTTAATAATAAGGAAAATAAGTGCATTTGAAGCCAATCTCTCTTAATTCAGAGCTCATTTCCTTAGTGGCCCCTTTGGATCAGGAGTGCCTGACATTGGCATCCTGAGACCATTGATAGAAGTAAATCAAGCAAGTTTGTGCCACCCAGAGGAAACCTCCACTTGTATTGGGAAGCTCTGGCAACTGTATCCCTGAAACTCTAGTTCCTAAAATGTTAATGTTTGCCACAAAAAGTATTGTCAAACTGAGATTAGGCAAAGTTCAAGGGATTTCTAGATTGTTGGCCATGTAATATAGTTTTGTAATACTTCTCAAATGCAGATGATCATGGAATCTTTTTGTTAGGGTACAGTTCTTTCGGTAAAACAACTACTCTTTGAAATATAGTTTAAGAAACACTTCTCTAGAGGTAATAATTTAGATCATTAATTTATTTTAAAAACTTAAAGCATTCGCTACTATGTCTTAGGTTTTAGGGTTATAGAGAAAAAAGATACAGCCCTTGCCCTTGAGAATCTCTTGGTTTCAGTGGGAAACAATGAAATAATTACAATGGACTGTGCTAAATGCTGAGATAGAAGCAAGGATTTTTGGGACTGGTAAATAAAGTGAGTTTTGGAGATGACCGAAGTTAACATGGGGAGGCAGAGGAGGGGTGTTTCAAGGCAGTGTGTGGGAAAGCACAGAGGAGTGAAAGGGACGGGACTGCTTTGCATTTACTTTCTGTCTATATTGCATGTTTAAGTTCATAGCATCTTATAGAAGATTTTTAGTTCAGTGGAGAAATATGTAATTTTGTGAATTATAAATTGTTTTTGCTTTCTTACAGGAGGGAAACACTCCACTTTTGTTTGCTATAAATTCCAGGAGACAGCATATGGTGGAATTTTTATTGAAGAACCAGGCAAATATACATGCCGTTGACAATTTCAAAAGGTGCAATAGTTTTTGTTTTCTGTTTTCTTTTTTCCTAAAAACCTGAGTGTTCTAGAGTGGTAACAGTCGCTCAAGTCAGAAATGTTAATAAGATTAAACTTATAATTATTGGCATATAGTAAAAAATAACATGAATAATCAGGTAGAAAAGAAGTTATTTGGACTAAGCAACATAAAAAACAGTATATAGTAGGATTCATCTTCTCTTATAGACTGTTATTTGTAATTTGATGTTTTTGTCCTGTAATCTTATATTAGCTAAAGGGGTTTTGTATTTTATTAATTTTATGAAGTGTAGACTTTAACTTTCAGTTTACAACTACTACTATTACCATTATCATTATTATTATTATTATTATTATTATTATTATTATTATAGTTGTTGCTGTTGTTGTTGATGCTGTTGTTTTCAGCCTGCAGATAGCTCTTACTTATTTGATCCCTAGCTGACTTTGAATTACAATATAATTCGAAGCAATGGGAAAGCAATGGGAAAATCTTCACCTAAATCTTTGCCCACTTTCAATAAGTGACCTCAGCACAGTTTCTTGGCCATCAAAGGACTATAAATTAGCAATTCGTATTACATCATATCCCAATGGGACACGAAGCTTGCTTGTTGTCCCTGCCTTTTAGCCTTGGTGGTAATTTAACAAGATGAACACTTGAGCACCCAAGATGCTTATACACATAAGCTAGTACATGTAAATGGTTATTATGTCTATCCTGACAGGCAAGATATGAAATTGGTAAAGTGTATCCAATTTGCTAATTAAATATCTTTATCAAAGTTCTTGAGTGCTGTTATTTCTTTATTGTTTTAGAACAGCCCTCATACTTGCAGTACAGCATAACTTGTCAAGTATCGTCACCCTCCTGCTTCAACAAAATATACATATCTCTTCTCAAGACATGTTTGGCCAAACTGCCGAGGATTATGCTTTTTGTTGTGATTTGAGAAGGTATGTGCTTATATTAAAAGACCGGTTAATACTAAATTAAGGTTTTAAATAATTATAACTATTGCATCTTATACATTAGGTGACAGTTCATAGTTTGGTTGAGGTAGTTTGGAATGGCAACAAGTTAGTCCACTTCTTAGCCAGAAATCACACAGAAAGCTAGACTAGTTAGAAGTAGCAATGAGTGCAAGATTCTTTCCGGACTTTTAAAGACCTTTATCCCTAGGAATGTCAGTGTTGTTCATTTTATTCCAAGTATAACTCTTATATATGAGATAGAAATAATGTCACATCTTTTACTTTTTCTTTCTTTCTTCCTTTTTTTTTTTTTTTTTTTGAGACAAGGTCTCACTCTGTTGCTCATGTTCCTGAGTTCAAGTGATTCTCCTGCCTTGGCCTCGCAAACTGCTAGCCACCATGCCTGGCCTGACTTTTCTAATTAGTTATTGGGTCTCGAAATGTCCACTTTAGCAGAAAATCTTGTATTATCCCCTGGGGCTACCTCCTATGCCTTCCTCCTTTGAATTTTTCAAAAAGCTAAGGGGTTCCCTAAGCCCAAGGAAGACAATCTTGCTTTACAAGTCAGAAGAAGAGGGGAAAAGGCCATTCTAGTCATTCTGTTGTTTCCATTGATTCACTTGCTGTATTGCTGCCATTGTAACTGGTCCTGCAATCTGGTAATGATTGACTTTTGCCACCAGGATGCCCTTACTGATTCAGATCCCTCACTCTTCATGGTGACTCATACACAGAGTCCACAGCTACAGTGTTTTGTTTTGTTTTGTTTTGTTTTTTCGAGATGGAGTCTTGCTCAGTCGCCCAGGCTGGAGTGCAGTGGCGCAATCTCGGCTCACTGCAAGCTCCCCCTCCTGGGTTCACGCTATTCTCCTGCCTCAGCCTCCCGAGTAACTGGGACTACAGGCACCCGCCACCATCCCTGGCTAATTTTTTTTGTATTTTTAGTAGAGACGGGGTTTCACCATGTTAGCCAGGATGGTCTCGATCTCCTGACCTTGTGATCCACCTGCCTCGGCCTCCTAAAGTGCTGTGATTACAGGCATGAGCCACCACACCCGGCCCACAGCTACAGTGTTTCCATAATAATGAAAATCTCTCATATTTATATGAGATTATATTGCATATAGATTATATAATCTATATATTATATAATTATTGTATATTATATGTAATTATATTATTTTTATATTTATATTATTTTATATTTTATTTATATTTTATATTTTTATATTTAATATTTATATTATCATTATAAATATTATATATAATTATTATAGATTATATAATCTATATATTATATATAGATTATATAATCTCTTATATTATAATGAAAATCATTATAAAAGTATTCATGTAAGGTGATCTGTGAAATGAGAACAGAGCTGAGTAGCACACGGGATGTTACATGCAAATATGTTGTTAGTACATGACTTGGAAATGAGGAAACATCAACTTCCATCTCTTTCATGGAACTGAAAAACAATACAAGCAGGGCTTTGTCTTGTATGCCAGTTGGAGAGGACCAAAAAGGTGCAGCCTCTAACACAGACCTGCTGGCTCTGAGTCTGAGGAGGTAGAGAAGGAATGGTAGTTGTCCCAGCCAGGTTTTGACACCTATTAGTTTTCTGCCCTTGGTGTGATTGATGAGCTCAGTAACAGGGGACAATTAGAGTATATGTTTTAATGAGATAATAATATATTTGTATATAAATTTAGTTACAAGTTATGAACTAGCTAAAATGCTCTGAACTACAAGCCACAATGAATAGAACTAATAACCAAAATTAGCACTTAATAACATTCTCTGAAAACTGTGACATTCAAATATTAGAAACTATGGAAAAACACTCATCAGGTTTTATTTGAGATTCCAAAATGGTTTCAGCAATGCAGTTCAAGAATAAATTTTTCCATTGCTTTACTATTTCTCTGAACATTTAAACATGTTTTCTCATTGCATCCTCCTAATTACCTAGTGAAGTCAAGTAGTAAAACCTTGATTTTTTAGAAGAAGCCATGGAGGCTAAGAGAAGCAACTGATCTGAAAACAAAATACCTATTGGTTACAGAGCGAGGACTTACTGTGAATGCAGGACAGTTTCCAGGCTGTTAAGCTAACTAGAATTAATTTACTGAGCTATGCTTTTCTCAGTTTATGAGTACTTCCTGTTTTTCTTGTTTAATTAGAAGCTTAATAAGTTTATAGAGCTTAAAATTTTAAAGTGTATTGGACATTAGATTTCTGATATTAGCTCTGATATTGTCTGAAATGCTTTAAGAATTTAATCTGTTTGGTAAATATTTTTCATATCACTATTAAAATACTAATTTTATTACATTTATTATGCATAGCATCCAACAACAAATTTTGGAACATAAAAATAAGATGCTTAAAAATCATCTTCGAAATGACAATCAAGGTAAGACTTCTGATAGTAAATTTCTCATTTCCCTTGGTGATCTTACTGATTTTAAAAAGCAAAATTACAGGCCAGGCATGGTGGCTCACACCTGTAATCCCAGCACTTTGGGAGGCCGAGGCAGGTGGATCACCTGAGGTCAGGATTTTGAGACCAGCCTGGCTAACATGGTGAAACCCCATGTCTACTAAAAATACAAAAATTAGCTGGGCATCATGGTGGGCGCCTGTAATCCCAGCTACTCGGGAGGCTGAGGCAGGAGAATCACTTGAACCTGGGAAGTGGAGGTTGCAGTGAGCTGAGATTGCACCACTGCACTCCAGCCTGGATGGAAGAGCAAGACTCTATCTCCAAAGAAAACAAAAAGAGTAAGATTACATATTTTTAATCATAAAAGAGCAGTTTAAAAAAATATGTTTATATATAAATTAATTTTTTAAATTTAATTTCTTTAGAATTCAGAGTTATTTAAGAAGTTGTAGCTAATTCTCAATCTCAAACCGTATTGTCTGAAAAAATTCATTTACCTACTTATGATCCCTGAAATTCTACATATTTTTGTATTAATATAAATAAGAAATTAGTTTAAGTTAATATGTTGCAATTTCCTCTGTAATTACATTGTTACGAATTGGACTTGTTATGCAAATGGATCCTCTATTTAATTTTTATAGCAAATGGTTTACATTTAGTAAATAAATATTAATTCCAGTTGATTCTTGAATATTGCGGGGGTTAGGGACTCTGATCCCTGTGGAGTTGAAAATCTGAGTATAACTTTGACTCCTTCCAAACGTAACTACTAATAACCTACCGTTGACTGGAAACTTTACTGATAACATGAACAGTCAGTGAACACGTATTTGTATGTGTTGCATTATTATATACTATGCTTTTAGAATAAAGTACGCTAGAGAAATGAAGCTGTTATAAAGAAAATCATAGAAAAGAAAAAAATATACTTAGTATTCATAAACATAAGCGAATCCTCCCAAAAGTCTTCATCTTTATCATCTTCAGGTTGATTAGGCTGAGGAGGAAGAAAATGGTTGGTTTTGCTGTCTCTGGGTTGCAGAAGCAGAAGAAAAATCTGCATATAAGTGGACCCCTGCAGTTCAAACTCTTGTTGTTCAAGGGTCAACTGCATTACACAGGAATTTGTGTCACTAAGAAAGTAACTGTCTTTAGAACTAGGAATTCAACAATCCCTTTCTGACACCATAAACAAATGGCAATAAGAACCATAAAACTGAGCTAATGTGCACCCATACAAATAGGAGATTATTTTTGAAGATAGCTACTGAATGCAGAAGACAGAAAAGTAATTCCTTTCCAAGAGGCAGAAGTTATGTTTCATATTCTTATACAAACAAGGTCTATTTTTAATTTATTCACCATAAGGTGGAACCTCATGAGATATATTCACTTCTTAGAACAAGCTGTGTTTTTTTATGTGCTGGATAATTATCATAATAATAGTAATTTTATTGGAACAAGATAATCTGTTACCAGGCTGGGCCTGGTGGCTCATGTGTAATCCCAGCACATGGCAGGCCAAGGAAGGCAGATCACTTGAGGTCAGGAGTTTGAGACCAGCCTGACCAACATGGTGAAACCCTATCTCTACTAAAAGTACAAAAATTAGCCAGGCATGGGGGTGGGCACCTGTATTCCCAACTACTCGGGAGGCTGAGGCAGGAGAATTGCTTGAACCCAGGAGGTGGAGATTGCAGTGAACCGGAATGCACCACTGCACTCCAGCTGGGTGACAGAGCAAGATTCCATCTCAAAAAAAAAAATACTCTGTTACCATTAGGCAAGAGATAATCATAATAAATATTCCAATAGCCAAACTCTAGGCTCCAAAAATTATAATAAAATTATAAAAATGGTTCACAATAACAAAAATGTAACACCTAATGCATTGTACAATCTGAACTGTATAAAGACACCGTTAATTTAGTACATAATTATCAAACCACTTCTATAAGTTAGGTTTGGCAAATTGCAGGAGACAAAGATGGAATTGACATAGTTTTTGTCTTTAGGGTGCTCATAATAGAATATAGATAACTATTTAATTTTTGTGTTTTTTCAACAGAGTTTTTAAGAAAAATATTTTAATTCATTCAAATACTTGTCCACTTAAATAATAACTATCATGTATCTGTTACAGACTAAGCATTTTTCCAATGTTACAAAATACATTTAAAAATACAGTTGGGAGATTGTTATTACCACTGTTATTTATTTTATTTACTACCTGAAATAGTGTTTACTGTGTGTCCAATGTCATCTGGGAGCTTATAGTTATTATTTATTACATATGTATCACGTTCAGTATGTGCCAGGCACGTTTACGTTTGTGGCGATGAATGCAGTCTTCTAAAATGTGGGTAGGATTTAGGGTAAGCGTGCAGAGTGAGTGGAACTTTGCCAGGTAAGGAGGCAGAGGGATGATGTTTGGCAGAAATAGTATCTAACAAGCTTGCATGTTTGACAGAAGCAGCAGCCATGAAGAATGAAAGTTTTAAAACACAAGGAGCAAGTTCAAAAGGTAGGACACCTGAGTGAACTTTGTAGAGTTTATGAGCAGTTCAAATTTACTAGTGCAAAAAAAAATATATGGAGTGCTTGGTAATGAGGTGAAAATAGCTTATAGTTATTATTTATTATACTTAGTACGTGTCAGTGAAGGCAAGCTTAGGAAAGACTTTGTTGTTGTTTTACCTGTGTCTAGAAACAAGTTCAATAAAAGACTTCTAATAGTATAGAAATGAGTAGATCTTATCCTGTAGGCCAGGGGAAACTTCTGAGGTAGAATGCTTTTGGCTGCAAATACTGGAAGACCTAACAGTGGCCAAAACCATAAGAACCAGACTTGTTTTGGTTGTCCAGTGATATTATTGGATTCCACTTGTTCCTCTTTCAGTTATGCTGTTGGCAGTGTCTTGTTCATGTCTCCCTTCATGGTTGGCTACTTAGCAACAGCTCCAAACACCATGTTCTCACAAGACAGTATCTAAAGGCTGGAAGGGCTGCTTTTCTTCACATGTGTCTTTTAAATTGGGAGAAAATTCAGAAGCATGCAGGGGACTTTTTGTAAATTTTTTTTTTCCTTCGGGGATGTAGTCTCGCTCTATCACCAGTCTGGAGTCCAGTGGCATGATCTCAGATTACTGCAGCCTTCACCTCCCAGGTTCAAGCAATTCTCCTGCCTCAGCCTCCCGAGGAGCTGGGACAACAGGCACATGCGACCATGCCCAGGTAATTTTTGTATTTTTAGTAGAGACAGGGTTTCACCATGTTGGCCAGAATGGTCTCAGTCTCTTGACCTCGTGATCCGCCTGCCTCGGCCTCCCAAAGTGCTGGGATTACAGAGATGAGCCACTGTGCTCAGCCCTTTCTGTAATATTTTATTAGCTGGGTCACACCACATGCTCATTCCTAAACCAGGCACCGGGAAAGCAAATGTAGTTATATGATTAGCTTAGAATAATCACTTATGTTTTGAAGCTGAGGAGGGGTATTGGGATAATAAATATCCACATAGATTTGTGATTCTCCAGCAAGAAACAACAAGGAACTGCTCTTGGATAGGGAGCCAGCAGTGTTTGCTCTAGAAATTCATTGGAAAATTGTAAGCAGGGGAGGCATTAGATTCAATTTGAGATTTAGGGCATTCTGTTCAGGGTATAAAGCTGGGATTGGCAAGCTTTCTCTGTAAAGGGCCAAATAGGAAATATTTTAGGCCATGTGGTCTCTCTCTCTCTTTTTCAAGAACGATTTAAGCAGCTGAAGGCCATGTGGTCTCTGTCGTAGCTACTCAACCCTGCCATTGTAGTGTGAAAGCCGTCATAGGTAGCATGTCAGTGAATAGGCATGACTGTACTCTCATAAAACTTCATTGAGAAAAAACATATGGTAGGCAGGATTTGGCCTGTAGTCTGCAGTGTGCTGACCCATTATGTAGAGGATAGATGGAGGATAGATGTCACCTGGGAGCATATAGTTATTATTTACTATGTATTTAGTATGTTCATTAGATGCCATTCACTTTTAAATTTGTGGTGATGAGTGCAAGCTTCTAATGGGTAGGATTTAGGGTAAGCATGCAGAGTAAGTGAAACTTTGCCAGGTAAGGAGGCAGAGGGATGATGTTTTCCAGAAGGAATATCTAACAAGTTTGCGTGTTTGACAGAAACAGCAGCTATGAAGCCTGAAAATTTGAAAAAAAGAAAAAAAAGAAAAAAATTGAAAAAAAGAAAAGAAGGTGCAAAAGGTAAGACACTTGAGTATCTCTACTCTTAACCATGTAAAGAGACTGGGAGACAAGGGAAGCTTCAGCCGTAGTTAATGGTATAGTTTCCTTGTCACAAATCCATGGAGTACATCAGTCTATTACAAGGTTTTCACCCATCCATGATAAAATAAAATGATAGAGCTCCAGTTTATTCATTTGAAAATATTGGTGTTGCTGGGAACGGTGGCTCCTGCCTGTAATGAGTCAGTGTTGGAGGCTGAGATAGAAGCATCCCTTGAGGCTTGGAGGTCCAGCAGCCTGGGCAACATCGCCAGACCTCGTGACTATTTTGCAAAAACTGTAACTTGGTGTGGTGTTCTGCACCTGTAATTCCAGCTACCTGGGAGGCTGAAGCAGGAGAATTACTTCAGCCTAGAACTTTGAGCCTGCAGTTAACTATGATAGCAACATTATACTGTAGCCTGGGTGGCAGAGTGAGACCCCATCTCTCAGAAAATTCAAGTCAAATAAGATAAGATACAATAAAATAAAATGTTGGTCTTTTTCTCGGAATTATGCTTTTCTAATTTGTTTTGCTTTTTAAAAAAATTTAAGAAATG
This sequence comes from Homo sapiens, assembly GCF_000001405.40. Taxonomy (NCBI): domain Eukaryota; kingdom Metazoa; phylum Chordata; class Mammalia; order Primates; family Hominidae; genus Homo; species Homo sapiens. Next base: position 33,541,809 of record NC_000009.12, read on the forward strand.
ACAATAATAGTTGGTTTATATAAGGCTTTCAGAAACTGGCTTCTGCCCAAATCTCCATCTGCAGCCCTTTCTCTGTCTGCCCCTTTTTCTGGCATTACTGAGCTGCTGGTGATGCCCCTGTCACCATCCTTCTCATGTAGACAAAAACATACGCTCTGGGAGGCTTCTCTCCCTCTCTTGCTGCTGCCTGGCATGTGCTATCTTTCCTGCCCTCTGCCTCTTTTAATCTGGTGAATCTCACTGTCTAAGTCTCAGCTCAGGCATGATCTCTAGAAAAGCCATCCCTGACAGCTTTTATTCTCATTCTTTAAACACCTGTGCCTACCACTTAGCAGGAACTCAATAAATATTTAGTAAAATAAAGACTGTCTACACAGAGATGATTGCTACAGTCTAGCAACAAAGGGGATAGACATGCAAAGACCTGATGTGCAGCTCAGATGGTGAAGTGACACTAGAAAAATTCAAAAAGTACGAAGGGAGCCCCAAGAAAGGAGACACCTGTGTACGTGGAGAAAAGATAGCCAGATTCAGGGAGGACTTCACATAGAATTTTGAGCCTTTTTTCCTTTTTTTTTTTTTTCTGTTTTTGGAAACAAGTTTTTACTCTGTCACCCAGGGTGGAGTGCAATGGCATGATCGAGACTCACTGCAAACTGAAACTCCTGGGCTTAAGGGATCCTCTTGCCTCAGCCTCTTGAGTAGCTGGGACTGTAGGCACAGACCACTATGCCTGACAAATTTTCTGTAGAGTCAGGGTTTCACTATGGTCTCTGGGCTGGTCTTAAACTCCTGGCTTCAAGCAGTTATCTCACCTGGGCCTTCCAAAGTGCTGGGATTACAGGTGTGAGCTACGTCCCCAGCCTACATTCTGAGTCTTAAAACACAAAAATAAATTCATCAGAACTGTAGAGGAAAATATTTCAGATGTAAAAAACAGGGTGTACACTATAAAGGTATAACAGTAACAAAAATTTTGCAAATTATTAGTAAATAATGTGCTTAGCATGTTGTTAAAAAGATACTGTTATGAAGCAGAGAATAGTAAAGTGTTACTTTATGTGTTTTTACTGTATTTTTAAATTTTGGTTTGTTTCCAGCAGTTTTTTTTTTATATTGGGTGGAATAATTTTTGGGTGACCCTGAGACTTTTGCATGGCTTGAACCTGCTGATATCTAGTGTCTCCCCAAGTGGTTTGTTAAAGTTTTAGATAATTAGAAATGTTTCTTAAAAATGTAAATATTCCAGTAAACATTAAGCTTCATTTAAATTCTCAATTTATAAAAGAAAAGTGTGTGTTGTTTTGTATCAATTTTTATAAAGATTATAGTTTTTAAGTCATTCATTTTAACTAAACATATGGATTTGTCAGCAGAACACAACTTAAAAGTGGCTTCAGAGGAAAAGCAAGAAAGGCTTGAAAGAAGTGAAAATAAACAGCCGCAGGTATATAACAATTTAAATTTCTGGTTTAATATTGGTTTGTTTGTTTTTCTTTAATAACATAGCATAGTCCAAATGAAGTGACCTTTTAGACTATCCTTTTAGAATCCAACAGAGCATAATTTCATGTTGAATTTTAAAATATTTTAGCCTGTTATAAAATGTAAAATATTCTTATAGTCTATAGTAAATCATAGCTATCTGTACCCTTGGAATTGAGGCCAGAAATTTCCAGAACTCTCTTTGCTCTTTTATTTTTATAATCTTCTTCCTGATAAAGAAGGTAACATCAAAAATTGAGTTGTATTACTAAGCAAGAGAAATGATGAGCAATTGAACGGTGATGGCCACTGAGTTCACCTCATGTGAAAGGAGTCATCATTCCCGGTGGTTCAAACTGCAATTTTATGTTGCCAGTCACCAGTGCTGAGGTTAAAGACTTCTTCTGTTTTTTGGTTTCTGGTTGCCTTCAGTGTCTATGTTCAGGGAGAAGATGGGGTCATAAAAGCAGTCCAACTGCCTATTGAGAGAATTATGCTTTCCAGAATGGGACTTTGGTGTCAGGGTGCAAACAATAACTTTCTTGTTTTAACATAAGTAGAAAATGCTGTTAAAATTTGTAAAGCGCTGTCACTAGTGGAGCTTAGAATATATTAGACCTGGATATAAGCAGATAACCTATCTAGATAACACTATCATATTACAGTATAACATTTGAAGTAGAATCAAAATTTTCTTCTTTCTGATTGGTATTCATTTTGGCTTCTAATAATTTAGCATTTGCCTACTCTTTAATTAATCCTAGAAATATGAATTCACTGTAGGGGTTCACTATTTAGGGTATGCTGAGGTAAAAATCTTTTCAAGAGAGAAAGCCTTTAGATACTACATATCTTCTGTGAACCTATTTCTGTCAGATTTAATTGATAATGAATTAAGTTTACTCCAAACAAACAGTGAGAGTTAAGCTTCCTGGTTCACGTTTTTCCCCTATATTAAGCCAAGGGAAATTATTTTTACTTCTTAGTTATAATCCAGTAACTTAGGAGTAGTAAAACATAGATTAAGTTTCACAGTTGAGTTTTAATTATTTTCTATTTTTTCTTTGTTCATACTTAATTTAGAATAAAGTTAATTTTAAAACATGCACCCTGTCAGAAAAGACATCTGAGAAACAAAAGAAGCAAATTAATTTTCCACTTTTGCACCTGCAAAAAAATGTCTCAAGAACCAGAACTGAGTAAGAATTGTAATAAAGAGGATATATCTGTATATTCAGGACTTCCTTTAAAATTCATTACAATTCTGGGCGTGGTGGCTCACAGCTGTAATCCCAGCACTTTGGGAGGCTGAGGCAGGCAGATCATGTGAGGTCAGGAGTTCAAGACCAGCCTGACCAACATGGAGAAACCCCATCTCTACTAAAAATACAAAATTAGCTGGGTGTGGTGGTGCATGCCTGTAATCCCAGCTACTCGGGAGGCTGAGGCAGGAGAATTGCTTGAACATGGGAGGCAGAGGTTGTGTTGAGCCAAGATCATGCCATTGCACTCCAGCCTGGGCAACAAGAGTGAAAGTCCATCTCAAAAAAAAAATTCATTACAAAAAAGTTCAACTGAAGATTGGTGAAAGTTTTGAAAAATCCAGAATTACTGTTTGTCCTGAGGAAGAGCTCTTACATTGTAACTCTAAAGAGGGACAAACTTAAAGGGAGTGCCCTGTAATCTGATGAATCCTATCCCTGATGGTGAGGAAGCAGATGCACCTGGAGTGTCTAACTCTGTGCTATTCCAGGCATTGGCTGAACAGAAGGAGCCCATCTCACTCAGGTCTTATCGTTGCATTTATACTCTGGGTCCCTCCAACACACTTGCCAGTCATCTTCTAAGCTTTATTCAAATGAAAATAGATCAGACTGTAAAGATTGTAACAAACCAGACATGCAGCCTGTTTCTCACAGAGATGAAGAAGAAAGAGAATTGTTGTAATGATACAGAAATTGAAAAATTAAGGAACCCAGTAGTTATGGCTGAAATGAAAAAAGACCAAGAGTTTGATATGCAAATACGAGAAAATATAACCCAAAATACCACAGATTGGAAATTAGTCAGTAGACATTGGCCTCAGTCTGTAGATCCAAAAAGTCTTTTTGATTTGTGGTTTGCTCACTCCAAAGAATGGAAGCATGTGATACGAATAGAAAGCTACAGTATTTCTGCTATTGCAGACATTTACAAAGCCGAAAACCAATACATCGCTTGTTCCACAAGCCATATGGAACTTAGAAGCTCTTCTAAAGCTTAGAAGGTGTTTGGCAAGTGTGTTTCAGGGACCCACATATGACAGTCCCACTGCTAATATCTATAAAAGCATGAAACATGAATTAGAAAATGTGAGTTATTCTCCACCACATAGTGACAGAACATCAAAAGCATATCTAGAGGAAGACTTACAGCAAGATATGCAAAGGCTTAAGAATGAGACAGGCTTGTTACAAGTAGAGTTCCTGACTTTGAAGAAAAAAAGTTCAACTATAAAAGAGGTTCCCTTGCTGCTTCTCTTTTTATAAGTTATCTGATCCGTTCTGGTTTTCTACTCAAGAAAATCTCACATGTATAGTTACAGTGGGGTTATCTAAATGTGTAATTATGTGTCAAAGTAGATTAGTGCTGCTGTCTAAATGGCGGTTCTGGAAAACATTCTCATAATCTTTGTTCATTCATCAACCTAAGTCTCACTGTGAGTTTTCCAAGTGGCATATGGGCTGGGAAAATTATTTAGCCATATACCATGTGACCTTCTGAACCAGATAAGCATAAGGGAAATTGCTAAAGAAATACTGTCTAGATTCTTTTTTCTATATTCATTTAAAGATGAATTACATTTATTTAAATGATAAAATGGTAATACAGTGGGAGGAAAGCAATGACTGAGAAGAGACATGAAAATGTATCTGACCTTGAGAGTTGCAACAAATATTCCCAGCCAAACCAGTCTGTTTAATATGCTTTCATGCATGCAAGTTTATCTGTTTGACTCAAACTGTTTAAACTTATAATTCCATCATGGCCACTTTAAATGTTTTTGGAAACAAATACACATACTTTCACATATTTAAGAAAATCACCACTCCAATGTTTCTGTTGAATCAGACTTTTACATGATGTTGTTTAATAAAATATGGTAGGTTTTGACATGTATGATTTTATCATATAAGTAGCGTAACTCCTCAGCCAAAAATTTAGCATTTGACTCTATAGTAGAAGGCTGAGTCCTGTACATTATGTTCTAAAGATAGACAAAAATCTAGAGATTTTCTTCTTTCAAAGTAAAAGCAGATGAGGCCTCCCACCACCCTCTGAGCCATTAAATTGTTTTGCCAAAGTCACACTTTTAATTTATTTGACGAATTGGATGTATTTATCTGGTAATTGATGTAATTCAGCAATATGTAATTGTATCTTCCCTTTTGGTGCCACGAAATGCTAGGCAATGCCACCTTAGGGGCTTTGGGTGAGTTACTTAATATTTCTTGGTTTTACTTCCATTATCAAGTAGATAATGGGGCTAGAGTGGACAGCTATACTGTGTATCTTCCAGCTACAAACTTCTGTGGTGATTGAATGTACATTTGAGGAACATCTCATTTTCCAGGATTCCACACTAGAAACTCAGCAGTTTCACTCGGCTCCTTGTGTTGTGGCAAACTTTGGTTCCTCTATTTCAGTGAGCACCTTCACTTTTTTGATATCCCAGGAACCAAATGAAAAAATAAGGAGAAAAGGCAGTGGGGAAAAGAATATCTTAGTGCAGAAAAGGGAAAGGTTCTTTTCTGTTTCTGAAGCCCCACAAGGTCACATCCTCTCAATCTGGCTATTTCATGGAGAATCCAAGTGACAAAGGCAGAAGACACATTTTATGCCTGTGTCTTTTTGTTTCTCTGTTTTTGTGTTGATATATTTACACCACAGAGGTAACTGTGATCTGATGGAGAACTGGAAGTAGAGTCAGAAGCCGTGAGGAAAATCCTGCAGCTTGCTTATATTTTTAACCTGTCTTTTTTAAGGATTGTGATAACTAAATAAGTTCATCAATATATGTATGTAGAAGTGCTTAGTACAATGTCTAGATTTATGATTTAGTAAATGTAATTCTTACAACTGACTAAAAAATGTTGAGTCAAATCACAATAGAATATGATCAGGGAAACAGAACTTTTAAAACTTTGAGAGATTTTATCTGTCCAAATAGATGTGGAGGTAAAGCTCTTACTATAGGGTGGTGTCTGGGTTAGATATCAGAGTATAAATGCAATTTCCTTTTTCCAAGATTTTAATTTAGTCAAATTTTTAAACAACTTTATGCTTTGAGTTTGTTGTAATTCAGAGAAATGCTTTTCCAATTCTGATATTCTTAAAAATTCTCTAGAGTGTGTGTGTGTGTGTGTGTGTGTGTGTGTGTGTGTGTGTGTGTTTTATGGATTCATTGACTTCAAATACATTTTTGAACTTTTTGAAATGTATGTTCTCTAAGGTTCAAGGTTTTGCTTCAATTTTTTTCTCCAGTTGGTTATCCACTTACAGCAACTTTTAATTGCATGAATGTATAGGTTGCTCTTTCACTTCAGAAATAACCATCATAGATTATTTTGAGTGCTAACTAAAAATTTGTTTTGTTTTATTTAGGATTCTCAAAGTTATGGAAAAAAGAAGGATGAGATGTTTGGAAATTTTATGTTGAAGAGAGACATTGCCATGCTCAAAGAGGAATTATATGCAATAAAAAATGACAGTCTCAGAAAGGAAAAGAAATATATTCAGGAAATTAAAAGTATTACAGAAATAAATGCTAACTTTGAAAAGAGTGTAAGACTCAATGAAGAAATGATAACAAAAAAAGTGGCCCAGTATTCGCAACAGCTTAATGATCTGAAAGCTGAGAATGCAAGGCTGAATTCAAAATTGGAGAAGGAAAAACACAACAAAGAAAGACTAGAAGCTGAAGTTGAATCCCTCCATTCTAACTTGGCCACTGCTATAAATGAGTACAATGAAATTTTGGAAAGAAAAGACCTAGAACTAGTTTTATGGAGAGCAGATGATGTTTCTAGACATGAAACAATGGGTTCTAATATTTCTCAACTAACAGATAAGAATGAGTTGCTTACTGAACAGGTCCATAAAGCTCGGGTGAAGTTCAATACCTTAAAAGGTAAGCTCCGTGAGACAAGAGATGCTCTCAGGGAAAAGACATTGGCTTTAGAAAGTGTACAGCTGGACCTAAAGCAAGCGCAGCATCGAATAAAGGAAATGAAGCAGATGCATCCAAATGGGGAAGCTAAAGAAAGTCAATCCATTGGAAAGCAGAACTCTTCAGAGGAGAGAATACGTCAACGAGAACTTGAAAATCTCTTGCTTGAACGACAACTAGAGGATGCTCGTAAGGAAGGTGATAATAAAGAGATAGTCATTAATATCCACAGAGACTGTCTTGAGAATGGAAAGGAAGATCTTCTAGAAGAAAGAAATAAGGAATTAATGAATGAATATAATTATTTAAAAGAAAAACTGCTTCAGTATGAAAAAGAAAAAGCAGAAAGAGAAGTAAGTATGAAGAAAACTATAACCTTCTGGAAAGAAAATTTAAACATTTCATTGTGGCTATATGTTGAACGTAGTTCAATATAAAAATAAATAGATGAAAATGTGTTTACCATTCTGTATAATTCCATTTACATGAATCATCCAGGAAATACATGTATAGGGACAGAAAGATGATTAATGTTTGTGTAGGCCTGGGGCTGGAAGCGGGTCGTGACTGCTAATGGGCATTAGGGATTGTCCTGGAGTGATGAAAATGTTCTAAAGTTGGATTGTAGAGATGGTTGCACGACACAGTAAATTTACTAAAAATCTTTGAACTGTTTGTTAAAACAGATAAATTCTATAAATCATATTTCAACAAAGCTGTTTGAATAAAAATCATATTTCAACGAAGCTGTTTTAGTAAACCAAAAAAGTGTTTACTGTATCAGCTTGGAAACATGCTTTGTTTCCAGGAGATAAAAGGTAGAGCTGACAGTTGCTTTCCTTTGAGTAAAGACATTATGTCACCTATGAAATGTTAGTAGATGCAGAGCAATGCTGATAAGGTGTGTAGTCTTAGACTACTGAAATAAGAAATGTAACGTCTTTATGTTGCCGCATTTTAAGAGCATAATGAAGCAGGTAAGTGGAAATGCTTGCACCTGAAATGTGTATTTTGAAATTCAGATTCAATTAAGTGAGCCGCTTTGACACTTAGATTTTCCAGATGAACTGAAGTGTGTTGCTGTGTCTTGTGATGCTTTTCCTTCAGTGGCTCTCTCTTATATGTATTTTAGTTAGTATAACTTTGTTCTGATTCATACCAATGTGACTTAAGTCTGAAAATATGTCAGTCTCACATTATGTATTTTTCTGACCACTTAGTATTTTAAAGACTTCTACTTGTTATAAAATCACAATTTGGAATAAATGTGGTAAATTTTAGCAAAAAAATATTTGATGTAATGTTTCCACTGGCAGGTATTTATAATTTACTGTGAATATTTTTATGGGTAATTAGCTCATAATTTACATTTTAAGTCTCAATGACTATCATTTGGATATAATTCTTTCCAGTACAAAGATACTTTTAGCTGTCTGTGATTTATGAGTTTGACATTGAATCCCCATTTTCAGACTAATGAGGGGTGGCAGAGTTCACGGAGAGTGGGATTGAAGTTTGTACGGGACAGAGTTGTAGGAGCTGAGGTCAGGGAGGGAGGTAGAGGCCATGTTACCTAGGGCCTTGAAGGCTGTTGGAATTTTACTTTTATTCTGAGGTAGGAATCCGTTGGAAGGATTTCAACAGGTGACTGAATATGTGAGGAACTCAGGTTGAGTTGAGGGTCTAAGGTGAATGAATAGCGGGCTGGATCAATCTGTCATGTAAGAGAATATCAATTTGGCAGAATATAACACCTTCTATGTCCCTCACTGAATTCAGTAATAAAGAAGAAAGTGTACATATGAGGAAAAGAAAGTGAATCTGTGTGTGTGGTAATAATTTTCAAAGTATGTATGCTAGAGTTAAATATTAACATAATTTAATAATAAGGCACTTTATAAAATTGGTAACAAAAATATTTTGTCAGGTGATTGTGAGAGAATTTCAAGAAGAACTGGTCGATCATCTTAAAAAATTTTCAATGTCAGAGTCTCCACTGGAAGGTACATCACATTGTCATATTAATTTGGATGAGACATGGACTTCAAAGAAGAAATTATTTCAAGTAGAAATTCAAGTATGTATGGAATTTAACATGTAGACAGTTAATCTGTAGCTGGTTGAATACCAGTATCCTAAGTGTCTTAGGATACTAATTTCAGTGGACAGCTTGATTTTGTATTTTCATTATAATTGATCATTACCATTTTATTATCTTTATAACGTACTTCTTCAACTCTGGCTCTTGTTCTGCCATTTTGAAATAATAATTGCATATGTTTTCTCTTATAATATCTACTCTTGGGAAAGTTGAGAATGATACATCATTCCTCACAGAAAATTGACTTTTTTCCTGTTAAACAGTATTTTTAGATAATTTCCTTAATGCCTTGGTGAGGCAAGCCAGATTAAGTCAGAAGAGAATGTTTAATGGAATATTCCATCAAGTTGTCTTATTTCTTCACTTTTGTGAATGGACACAGCAGCTGTGCGTATTCATTTCATGGATTCTAGGTTAACTTGTACAGAAAGGCCATCATACTGTTCTTTGAAATGCACATGTTTTAGGTTAATTTACAAACTACTTGAAAAGTTAGGCATTGCCTTCATCTTCCTTTCATTTAAAATATATTGTAATGGCGTAGAAATACTCAGATCTAATAGAGTATGTACATCCAAAATAGAGAGCTCAGAAAATTATCTGGATCCTACCATGGGATTTTAAAAACAGTTTCACTGAGAGATAATTCACATGTCAGACAGTTCAACCATTTAAAATGTACAACTCAGTGTCTGTTAGTATATTCACAGTGCTGTGTGGTCATCAGCATAATCAATGCTAGAACATTTTCACCACTCTGAAAAGCAATCCTACATCTCTTAGCCATGACTGCAACCCCACTCCATGTCTCTCCACCTACCCCAGTTGTAGGCAACCACCATCCACTTTTGTCTCCATAGATTTGCATGGTCTGCATATTTAAATACATAGAGTCATACAATATGAAGTCCTTTCTGACTGGCTCTTTCACTTAGCAGAATGTTTTCAGAATTTTATCCATGTTGTAGCACATATCAGTAGTTTATTCCTTCTTATTGTCAAATAATAGTCTATTTCATGGCTACACCAGTTTTCCATTCATTCATCAGCTGATGGACCTTTAGGTTGTTTCCACTTTTTGGCTATTATGAAAACAGCTGTTGCAAACATTCATTTACAGGTTATTGTATGGACATATGTTTTTATTTCCCTGCCATTGGACTCTATCCTCAGAGTTAATTGGGCAGATGTCAGCACCAGTTTTACCCATGCTGTCCTTCCTGCCTTCTCAGTTCCTGCTCATCTAGCCTCATTCATTCAGACCTGACAGGCAATGTCCTCTTCTTGAAGCTTTCTCTGACTGTTCTCTCACTGACCTTACATCTCAGCACTTGTTGCCCAGTCTGCAGAACAACTTAGCCCTTAATTTGACATGGATTTTAATTTTTAATGGAAGATAATTTTGTCTTAACATAAATTCACTTAAAGGGAAAATAATATATGACATGAATGTCACCTATCCTTGTATAAATTGAAAATATTTTAGCTTGGCAGCTTTTAGCATAGAACAAAATATACCATACCAATTATTTCTTCTTTGAGACATTAACACAGTAAATCTTTTATTCTAAGTGTATTTTTAGCAATTAAATATGAAATTAAAACCAATTAGTCTAATAGAGGAGAATTGTTCAATCAAGTGCTCATGTTTTTCTCAGTATGAAAAAAGAATCTAAATTTGCCTTCCTTCACTATGTAGCCAAAACTGTATTTCTGGATGGTTGCCAGTTTGTCAGCTGAATAGTTCTGGCTGCAGCTTGTCTGATGAAGGACAGCACAGCTCCTTAATCCTAGCGCTCAGCAGAGTACTCGTGAAGGCAGTGCCACAGCAACAGCTGCTGGGAGGGAATTGATTCAGAAGACTTGATTTAGCAATAGAGTCCAGGGTTTTCAGCTCCGTGGCTCAGCCTGTCTCTGCTGGTCATGTCGGTTATGTACTACTCAATCCAGGAGGTGCTGTTTCCATTGTAGTACATACATGACTGTTGCCCACTGAGTCACACAGAGAGAAGAGTAAGCTATAAATTATACACTCCCCATTTGCTGCCACTTTCAGTGGTGTGAAGAATGATTCAGTGCATCTATAGGAGGCCACTTCCATTGGAATGCCACCTCCCTAACACATACAATGGTCAAGAGATAAAAAAGAGTGAAAATTATCATGCTAATAGCAAATATTGTCTGTAGCTCACTATGTACATGTACTCTTCTAAGTGCTTCTAAGCAAATCTTACCTGTAGCTCACCATGCACCACATACTCTTCTAAGTGCTTCACGTCAGTCCCTGGTTTAATCTTCCCAACATCCCAGTGAAGTAGATGGTATTATTCTCTCCATTTCATAGATAAAGAACCGGAGACACGGAAAATTAATTTGCTCAAGGTCGCACAGCTAGTATCTGGTAGATCTGGGATTCAGACCCAGCCCTTCTGGCTTCTGTGTAGAACTGCCTCTCAAACCATTCCATGGAACACCTGGTTGGTGAGGTGGCTCATGCCAGTAATTCTAGCACTTGGGGAAGCTGAGGCAAGAACAGTGCTTGAGCCCAGGAATTTGAGACCAGCCAGAGCAATATAAGTGAGACCCTGACTCTACAAAAAAAAAAAAAAATTAAACAGCTGGGGCATGGTGGTGCATGCCTGTAATCCCAGCTACGTTGGAGGCTGTGGTAGGAGGGTCGCTTGAGCTCAGAATATCAAGGCTGCAGTGAGCGGTGATCAAGCCACTGCACTCCAGCCTGGGTAACAGAGCAAGCTCTGTCTCATAAATAAAACGTTTTGTATAGATTCCCATAGAATTGAGTTAGACATCAGGCATAGGATTATTAGCCACTTTGATGTCTGCCTTGGGAGTAAAACATATAATAAGGGGCAGCTTTAAACCATCTCAATCAATAGCCTCTAACTTCTCCAGAAGGTTCTTATTTCATGAATTCCTAAGCAGGAGACTACCTGGATTAAGACATTTGGTGGACACCATTCTGAGATGAAGAATCTCGATCAGGAAGAAGGGAGATCTCTACTTGACTGGAGCTTCCCAATGACATAGTTGAGTGTCCCCCAAAAGGAACTTTAGAACAAGATGTTCATCATGCCATATCTCTATGGAAAAGGAAATTCTTTAAAAGAAAACAAAGGCAAACAATTGATAATCTGTTTCTCATGGGAAAGTTTTCATTATAAAAGAAAAAAGGGCTGGGTGCCGTGGCTCACATCTGTAATCCCAACACTTTGGGAGGCTGAGGTGGGTGGATTACCTGAGGTCAGAAGTACAAGAAGAGCCTGGCCAACGTGGTGAAACCCTGTCTCTACTAAAAATACAAAAATTAGCTGGTGGTGTGCAACTGTAGCCCCAGCTACTTGGGAGGCTGAGGCAGGAGAATCACTTGAACCCAGGAGGTGGAAGTTGCAGTGAGCCGACATGGCACCACTGCACTCTAGCCTGGATGACAGAGTGTGACTCCATCTCAAAAAAAAAATAAATAAATAAGAAAAAGAAAAAACGGACAAAATATACTGGCCCAAAAAAGAAGAAAGAGAGAGAGAGAGAAAGAAAGAAAGAGAGAAAGAAAGAAGGAAAAAGAAAGAAAGAAAGAAAGAAAAAGAAAGGACAAAGCAAAGTATACTGGTGAATATCCTAAGGGTGAGACAGCCCCCCTTCAAGATTAGAAAATAACAGTGTACTCAAAGTAACATCCATAAGAATCAACATAAAATAGACAAGATTCACTATCTACAAAAGTAATCTGCACCAAGTAGCAAATGTATAAGTGTGTGGTTGAGAATATTGTCTATAATATGTGTACTAGAGGGAAGAGTCCTCAGTAAAAAGGTCAGAGCTGGAAATTTATATTAGGGAATCCAGGTTAACGTTTTGAGATATTAGGAGTTCTGAGAGAATTTAAAAAGAGGAGTAGCAGCCAGGCATGGTGGCTCACGCCTGTAATTTCAGCACTTTGAGAGGCCGAGGAGGGCAGATCATGTGGTAAGGAGTTCAATACCAGCGTGGCCAACATTGTGAAACACCATCTCTACTAAAAATACAAACAATTAGCTGGGTGAGGTGGTGTTGCAGAATCAGGAGGACCAGAGAGAGACCTTGGGGTGTACACAGGAGGATATCTTTATCGAGTGTACTCAGACCCAGCGGACTCAACATCTGACAAACTGGGCCCAGAACAAAGACAGCACTTGACTTTTATATACACTTCAAAAATGAGGTGGGCTAGCTTGAAGCAGGCTTACAGTTACAGTGGTGTGAAAGCACGGATACAGAGGCAGAACAATTAATTAAATTGTGACAGGTTCATAACTTAGGATTACACATGACCTTTGCCAAGCAACCCAGATGTCTGTTACCTAGGTTTTGCTCTAAAGAGCCTTGCACTGGTTTATCTCAAGTTTCAATATAACACTTATTGTGTTCAATAAAAACACAATAAGTGATGAAAAACAGATCTCTGGATGAGACCCTGTGTCATAGAGTCCAATGGAAGGGGAGAAACAGGATAATAGAAAAGCCACAAAAAGTAGACAAAAGTTATTATTTGTGTATTATAGAAAAAATAAACTTTGTTTAAAGAGAAATGGTTAATAGACAGGGAAAAACTGAAACCTACAGGTGAATACTTACAGAGAATGACAGTATTTAGCTCAGCCTGAAGGTAGATGAGGATCAAAAATGTAATGGGAACTAGATAAGAGTTTTCTAAAAATCATCTTAGTAAGATGTAATTTAACTTGGAATATCTTAAACTATTAATGACAATGTTTCTAGAGCATCTTTAAAAACTAAAATGTAAATATAACTACTCTTAATTCATCTTACTAACCCTTAGTACTTTATGTGTAAAAACTCTCATTTTTAACAAACATTTTTGGCAGTTTAAATTTCAGAAAAGGTAATGATGAAAGTGTGAATCTTTTTTAGCTGTTTTAAGAAAATGACTAGTTTTGAAATCTCATTATTGGCATCAGGTTTGTAAAATGCACTTTATACAACTGCCTAAATACATATTATTCATCAACTTATGAGAAATAATATTTTTAAGATAGAAGAGGGTCTCTAGATTTTACAAAAATAATTTTAAACACTTTTTTTCAAGCCTGAAGAAAAACATGAAGAATTCAGAAAAGTTTTTGAATTAATATCATTACTGAACTATACTGCGGATCAAATAAGAAAGAAAAATCGTGAATTAGAAGAAGAGGCAACTGGGTATGGTTTTCATATTGTAGAACATTTTAGCCATTTAGTAATTGATTTAACTCTAACTTTACTTGACTAAAACTTTGATACAAATTCATTTTATGTCTTCATTTTCATAATTAAATGAATTCTGTTTTAAAATATATTTCAGAAACTCACAACACAACTTTATAGGCATGTGAGCAGGAGTCCATGACCCTTGGACTTTTTTGTTGGAATTATTAAAAAAATCAAATTTCAGTATAAAAACACAATAAGTGATGAAAAATAGATCTCTGGATGAGACCATGTGTCATAGAGTCCAATGGAAGGGGAGAAACAGGGGTTGGGAGTCAGCTGAGCTGCTGGGGTGAGGTTGGGATGAAAAAATTTATATTAAAAATATGTGAAAAAAGAAACTTACAACACAATCTGAAATTTTTTTGAATGCCAAAACATTACACCTATTTTCATTTATTTATTTATCTTTTGAGACAGAGTCTGGCTCTGTCACCCAGGCTGGAGTGCAATGACGTGATCTTGGCTCACTGCAACCTCTGCCACCTGGGTTCAAGTGATTCTCTTGCCTCAGCCTCCTGAGTAGCTATGATTACAGGTGTGCACCACCCTGCCTGGCTAATTTTTGTATTTTTAGTAGAGATGGGGTTTCACTATGTTGGTCAGGCTGGTCTCGAACTCCTGACCTCATGATCCACCTGCCTCAGCCTCCCAAAGTTGGCATGAGCCACTGCGCTTAGCAATGTATTCTTTAATGATTTTGAAAACAATAATGACAATGCTTTGGACATGTAATGTCAAGCGCACTTTTCATTATCTAGTTTGAATTTTTATTTCTGAAGATATTTTTGCTGTATTTGGTCATCTTTTCTTCCTTTTGTAATATTCTTCACTGCTGCATTCAAATTTTTTAAAGACCTATTTGTGTCCTTCTTTAACATCAAAATTTATCTGGATATATAGCTTGTATTTTGTTTCTGCTTCTTTGTTTTTCTTTTAGATATAAAACATATCATGGAAATTTACTCATTTTACATGGGTAGCTCCATTGTATACATGAAGTATACATCTTATTAAACTTCTGTTTTACAGAAATAAATTTTATATATAGAAAAAGTATAACCTAAAGAAAAAGAGTAAAATGAGCATTCATGTTTTGATCACAGACTTTTTTTAAAAAAATGGAATGTGTCTTTGAAGCCCTGAACACAGCTACTTTTCCATGTATTTACTGAGCACTTAAGTTGGTTTTCTGATTCTAATCAATATTTTTCTGCCATTGTCTTTCTCTACATGGTTTTGTATCTTTCATTTTGTTGACATTATGTCAGTAAAGATCTCTAGATCTCTTCTTCAAAGTCTTTAAATCATCACATATCTCTCTCCACCTTTCCTTTTTTCTAAAACTGCCTGTTTTCTTTTTCTCCTCAATTCAGACATTAAAGATGTTTTCTTCTCTTTTTCTACATTGAATAATGTCCTTGTGCTTTTTGGGTGTACTTTTTTTTCTTCTTATAGACTGTGGTCAACGGATATCAAAATTTATTTTTGTGTCTTTTTCATACATATATATGTTTTACTTTTTTAAAGTCTTGGTTACTCATCTCTTGGTTATGCCTTATATTTACTAATACGTTATTTCATCTTAGCATACCAAAATGGATATGAATAGTTTATTTATAAAAAACTGTATGGTTAGGCCAGGTGTGGTGGCTCATGCCTGTAATCCCAGCAATTTGGGAGGCCAAGGCAGGTAGATCATTTGAGGTCAGGAGTTCAAAACCAGCCTGACCAACATGGTGAACCCCATCTCTACTAAAAATACAAAATTAGCCAAGCATGGTGGCACATGCCTGTAATCCCAGCTTACTTGGGAGGCTGAGACAGGAGAATCACTTGAACCCAGGAAGCAGAAGTTGCAGTGAGCCGTGATCACGCCATCACACTTCAGCCTGAGCAAAAAGAGTGAAGTTCCATCTCAAAAAAAACAAACAAAACAAAAACAAAAAAAAAACTGTATGGCTATTATCACTTTACCTGCTATATATACCATAAAATTGTTCTTCATATTATTTATATAAGATTATAATTTCATATAGAATGCTTTCAAACTATGTTCAGTTGAAACTGAGAGGATCATAGTTTATAGATTTGTTTCTTTGATATGCCATAACATAGTATCTGTTTAAACAATTATTAAATATTTACTCTTAAAAATTCTTGACTTACCAGTTCTTACATTTCTGCAGATATAAGAAATGCCTAGAAATGACAATAAATATGTTAAATGCATTTGCAAATGAAGACTTCAGTTGCCATGGAGACTTAAATACAGACCAACTGAAAATGGATATTCTGTTTAAGAAGCTAAAACAGAAGGTAATTTAAAAAATTATTATTTTATCTTAAGGTCTAGATTACATGTGTGAGAGGTACAGGTTTGTTACATAGGTAAATGTGTGCCATGATGGTTTGCTGCACGTATCAATCCATCACCTAGGTATTAAGCCCCGTAGGCATTAGCTATTAATCTTGATGCTCCCCCTCCTGACCCCAACAAGCCCCAGTGTTTGTTGTTCCCCCTCTGAGTCCATGTGTTCTCATCATTCAGCTCCCACTTATAAGTGAGAGGATGCAGTGTTTGGTTTTTTGTTCCTGTGTTAGTTTGCTGAGGATAACAGCTTCGAGTTCATCCATGTCCCTGCAAAAAGCATGATCTCATTCATTTGTATGGCTCCATAGTATTCCATGATGTATATACACCACATTTTTTTATCCTGTCTATCATTATGGACATCTGGGTTGATTCCATGTCTTTGCTATTGTGAATAGTGCTGCAATGAACATACAAATACATGTATCTTTATAATACAATAATTTATATTTAAACGTAAGGTAATTTTAAATCAGTTTGGGGATTAAAATTATGTAATTTGGAGAAATATTAATGATGGATAAACCCAAATTCAGCCAAAATACATCTAAGGAGGTTGATTCTGAGCCAGTATGGTGACTGTGGCCCTGGATTACCCAATCTCAAGAGCTCTTGAGAATGCTTCATGAGACAGTCACATTACAGTTTGGTTTTGTACATTTCCAGCAGACAGAGTTGTAGGGAAAATCATAAATCAATATGAGGAAGGCATACATTGGCTCAGCCTAAAAGTGGGACATCAAAAAGGAGGGGCTAACAAGTCATAGGTGGGTTTTAAGGATTCTTTCAGTGACAATTGATAAACAAAATCTGTTGTCTAAAACTGGAAATAGGTATAAAGGAAGGCCTTAATTAAGATAAGGTCATTATGGAGGTTAAGGTTCTTATTATGTAGATGAAGCCTCCTAGCTGGCAGTCCTCAGAGAAAATAGAGGGTAAATATATCTTTTCAGACTTGAAATGCATCAGGATCTTAGTTTATCTTCCCTAGATCTGGGAAGACCTAGAAGGGGAGAGATTGGGCTACATTAATGAAGACTTCTTACAGATGCAAATTCCCCCACAGATGGCAGCTTTGTACGGCCATTTCAATCTCTTGGCCCTGCAACAGCCATTTCAAAATATGTCAAAAAATATATATTTGGGGGTAAAATACTTTGATTTTTTTCAGCTTCTTCTCTCTGTGATGCTGTACCAGAATCAGGTTAGAAAGTAAACCACATTATAAGAGTTAATAAAACCCATCTGATGAGATTTGATTGTTTGAAGGGTGTGATTCCCAGACCCTTTAGATAGAAATTGGGGCAAAAGAATACAAGGTCTTGCTCCTCAATATAAATCTCTCAGTGCTTTAAGCAGTGACAGATTTTTCATTTAATTTTACAGACTTGATACTAATAAAAAGATACTTTAAAAAATATATATGTATATATTTTTCTATACAAAAGACGTGCTGTTGATTCTCTTATGTCTTGAACCCTGGCCAGTGATCTGAAACGAAGCAGCCCATGTCTCCAGATCACTAGTACCAAATAAATTTTGGGGTGTAACAGGTTTATTGAGAAGTAATTAACATACCATGCAATTCACTCATTTAAAATATACAAGTCATTCAATTTTAGTATTTTCAGAGTTATGTAATCATTGTTACATCAATTTTAGAACACTTTCATCACCTTAAAAACAAACCCCACATCATTTAGCTATCTTCACTAGTTTTCCCTTCCTCCCTCAGCCCTAGGGAACCACCCACCTTCTTCGTATAGATTTGCGTATAAGCCTCTGAAATAAAAAGCAAGTGGTCGACTGGGACTGGCTTATTTCACTTAGCATAATTTTTCATGCTGCATCTGTGCTGTAGCAGGTATTGATGCAGGGCTTTCACTCCTTAGTTCAGCTAAATCTGGGTTCTTCTCTCATGACCAGGAAAAATTAGCCATGTGGACCCATTGAAGGGTGAGAAGGACAGAATTTATTAAGTGAAAGGGAAGCTCTCAGCAAAGAGAGGGGTCCTGCAAACAGATTTCCACCTCACAATTGAATACCAGGACAGGCACACATGAGCTGAAGAGGCCAGGCTCCTCCTCTGCATAAGGCATGAATTCCTGGTGGCTCCACCCCAACCCCCCAGTGCATGTGGGCCTCCAGTCTGCTGCTGGCATGTCCAGGCAAGCCCCTGTGCAGGTTCCCTTATCTGCACCGGATGTTTTATCTGGTGTAGACACTTGTGGGCCTGGAGATTCTCTGGGGACCCTTCCATATCTGCCTAGGCATTTTGCTGTCTCCTGCTTCTATCAGTATCAGTACTAAATTTCTTCTTATTGCTGAGTAATATTCCATTGTATGAATACATCAAACATTTTATGCAACCATTCATGAGGTGATGGACCTTTGGGTTCTTTCCACTTTTTGACTCTTATTAATAATGCTGCTGTAGGCCAGGGGTGTTGGCTCACACCTGTAATCCCAGCACTTTGGGAGGCCGAGGCAGGTGGATCACGAGGTCAGGAGTTCAAGAGCATCCTGGCCAACATGGTGAAACCCTGTCTCTACTAAAAATACAAAAATTAGCTGGGCATGGTGGTGTGTGCCTGTAATCCCAGGTACTCAGGAGACTGAGGCAGGAGAATTGCTTGACCCCAGACCCAGGAGGCAGAGGTTGCAGTGAGCTGAGATCATGCCACTGCACTCCAGCCTGGGCTACAGAACAAGACTCCGTCTCAAAAAAATATAGTAATAATGCTGCTGTAAACATTTATGTATGAGTTTTTGTGCTTGCATATGTTTTTATTTTTGTGGAGTATATACTTATGACTGGAATTTCTGGGTCATACAGTAACTTCATGCTTAACCTTTTGAGGAGCTGACAATTTGTTTTCCAAAGTGGCTGCACCACTTTACATCCCCGGCAGCATTGGATAAGGGCTTTAATTTCTTTACATTTTCCCTAACACTTATTTTCTCTTTTTTATTGAACAAAGATTTGGTCCTGTGGTGTGAAGTGATACCACAAGGTGGTTTTGATTTACATTTTCCTAATGACTAATTACATTAAGCATCTATTAATGTGCTTATTATCCATCTTTATATCTTCTTTGCAGAAATATCTATTCAAATTCTTTGCCCATTTGTTAAATTGGGTTATCTTGTTATTTATTAATGGCAAGGGTTCTTTATATATCCTATATATGTAAGTCCCTTATCAGATATATGCTTTTCAGATACTTTCTTCTACTCAGTGTCTTACCTTTTCAGTTCTTCATACTGTCTTCTCAGGCACAGCAGTTTTCAATTTTGAAGTTCATTGAATCCATTTTTCCTTTGGAGTCATGGCTAAGAAAACACTGCCAAATGCAGTCACAAAGATTTATGCCAACGTTTTCTTCTGAGAGTTTTATAGTTTTAGCTGTTACAGTTAACTGTTTTGAGTTAATTTTTAAATATGGTATTAGGTGAGAGTCCAACTTTATAATTTTTTTTGCACATGGATACCCAGTTGTTCCAATATCATTTATTGAAAAGACTATTCTTTTCCCATTCTGTTTTTTTGTTAACCTTGTATAAAATCAATTGACTGTAAATGTGCAGGCTTATTTTTAGATTATCAATTCTTAGTTTATGTCTATTCTTAGTTTATGTCTATTCTTATACCAGGACCAAATTGAATTTACTGAGAAAATTTTTTCAATCATGTTGCATATTACCAGTTGTCTTATGTCATAATAAAAATTAAATGTAGTAGAATATCTTTAACTTCACCTTTTGTGTCTCAAAGGAGTCTGTGGCCAGCTTATACCTTACTTACTCTAAGACATGATGGCAAGTCAGGCTTACGAGACACACTCTTTCTTTTTTTCTCCATTTAAACCTTTAGTCTCTTATCCAGTGCCTCCCTCTATGGTTTCATTTTCAGTAAATTTTGGTCGCAGTATCTGCTGAAATAGTCTACTATTTAGTGCCTTATGTTTTACTAACTCATTATAATTCATAGAATCATCCATAGATGTTTACCATCCAGGAAGGAGGAGTTTAAGTCTGAGCTGCCAGCTTTCCTCAGTGGAAATCAAGTGAAGTCATCATCTTTCAGTTCACAGATCCTCTTTCCACCTGGCATCTTGTTCTGTTGTGTAACACTGTGGCTAATCCTTTTCTTGGTGCAGATCTTGCATTCTCAGAAACCACGGTTTCTGTATTGACCTCCTTTTACTGAAACAGAGATGCACAGCTCTGCTTTCTAGCTCAGTAGAGGATTCTTGGAATAAAAAGTTTAACTCATTCCAAGAAAAAGTTTTAGGAGTGCAGCACTTAAAAATCAGGTAATATTCAGGCAATTTATCAGAGACAAATAGTAGATTAGTATTTTGAATTTCAAAATTTCAGAGCCAAGTTGTGTGCTATAGAGAAGCATTGTGGTATAATACAGAGATGGGATGGTCTTAACTTCTCCATGCAAACAAACGTGAAGTAAGGTAAAGGAGAAATTGCATTTGATGTCTTAACACTCAAAGTATGCTGTGTTTATTTTACTTCTGTGAAGAGTAAAAGTCATTCCATAATTTTCTCCTTATTTCCTCATTGAGAAAAAGGAAAATGAAAATCGAATACTAGATTGATTAATAAATACTCAAAGCTTCTTCTTTTAGAATTTTCATTAATTGAAATCAGGTAAATGTCTGATTTTGGTTATGTAACCAAGTATTTCCAGTTGTTTTTCAAATCATATGTCTTCTTGCTTTGCAGTCTTATTTCCTAACTTGAGGGGAAATTGTAAGGAGACACCCTTGCCTTATTATCAGAGCTCATAATTGAAGGGGGTTTTAGGAAAAGTTCCTCCTCAGCAGCTTACACCTCTCTCCTGGTTATCTGCTGCTTCTCAATAATGTTTGTCATCAATAAATTAATCTCAACATTTATTAGATCTACTTTAAAGGAGACTCTTTTCTGCTACCTAAGTTGTTTCCTGTTGTCTCTTTTTAAAACTTATTTTTCTAACAATTACCCAGAGTTTTGTGGCTTAAAAGAAAAACATTTATTTTGTTCATGAACCTGTGGTTTGGAAAAAGATTGGCCAGGACAGCTTGTCTCTGCTCCCCTCAGCTTCCCTAGGAAGTTGGAGAAATTGAATCATCTGAAGCTTTGCTCTCCCATGTGTTTGATGGTTGATGCTGGCCATTGGCTGGAACCTCAGCTGGGGCAGGCAGCATGAACACCGACACTGGCACTCCCAGGCTGTCTTTGTGGACTGATCTCTCTCACAATCTGGGGGCTGAGTTCGAAGGGAAAGCAGTCTGAGATAGGGAAGCTACATGGTATCCCTTTTACTGCATTCTATTCATTAGGAGAAGGCCATCAGTAAGGATGGCCCATATTCTATTCTTTTAATGGGATGAATATAGATTCTCTTTTGTTTTAATTGACATGTATATACATAATTATGGGCTATAGGGTGACATTTTGATAAATTTATATAGTGCATAATGATCAAGCTAACTAGCATATTTACTACTTCTTACTACTTCAATCATTTTTCATTTCTTTGAATTGTGAACATTCAAAATCTTCTAGCTTTTTAAAAATATTCAATAAATCATAGTTAACCATATTCACTCTACAATGCCACAGAACATCAGAACTCATTCCTCTTATCTAACTGTAATTCTGTATCCATTAACCAGACTCCCCTCTCCTACTTCTATGAGCTTTTTTGTTGTTAAGAGACAGGGTCTTGCTAGTGTAGTCTGGGCTCTGGGCAACTGTAGAGTCATCCAGGCTAGAGACAGTGATTTGATCATAGCTCACTGCAGCCTCAAACTCTTGGGCCCATGTCATCCTCCGACCTCACCCTCCTGAGCAGCTAGGATTATGGGCGTGCACCATTGCACCTGTCTGATTTTTTACTTTGTAGAGATGTCTTTCTATGTTGCTCAGGCTGCTCTGGAACTTTTGGCTTCAAGTGATTCTCCTGCCTCGGTCTTTCAAAGTGCTAGGAAATTACAGGCATCAGCCATGTTGCCCAGCCCTCAATTTTTCTTTAGCTCCCACACATGAGTGAGAATGTGCAGTATTTATCTTTCTGTGTCTGCCCTTAACATAATATCCTCCAGACTGATCCACGTGGCTACAAGTAAGAAGATTTCATTTTTTTATATGGTGAGTATTCCATTGTGTATGTGTACCACAATTTTTTTGTCCATTCATTTGTTGATGGACATGTAGGTTGATTTTATACATTAGCTGTTGTGAATAGTGCTACAGTAAACATGTGAGGAAAAGTATCCTTGTGATCTATTGTTTTCTTTTCTATTGCCTGAATACCCAGTAGTGGGGTTGCTGGATCCCTCAGCAGTTCCATTGTTCATTTTTTGAGAAAACTTCATATTGTTTTCTATAGTAGCTGCACTAATTTACCTTCCCACCAACAGCATGTAAGAGTTTACTGTTCTCTGAAACCTCACCAGCACTTTTTTTTGTGTTTTCTATGATAGCCATTTATTGAAATGGAGCAAGATTATATCACATTGTAGGTTTGATTTGTATTTCCCTGATGATTAGTGATACTGAACATTTTTAAATGTATTTATTGGCCATTTGTATTTCTTTTTTTTCTCTTAAAAAAAGAGAAATATCTAATCAGATCTTTTGCCTAGTTTTGAACTCAGATTATTTTTGTTTACTGTCAGGGTGTTTGAGTTCCTTGTGTATTTTGGATATTTGTCCTTTATTAGATGAATAGCTTGAAAATGTTTTCTTCCATTCTACAGGTTTTCTCTTCACTCAGTTGTAGTACCATTTGTCTATCATTTGTTTGTTGCCTATGCTTCTGATGTCTTACCTATACAAATCTTTGTGCAGACTAATGTCCTGAAGCATTTTCCCTATGTTTACTTACAATAGTTTGATAACTTTGGGCCTTACATTTCAATCTTCAATTGATTCTGAGTTTATTTTGCTATATGGTGTTAGATAGGAAGCTAGTATCATTCTTCATATGGATAGTTTACCAGTGCCATTCATTTGAAGAGGGTGTCCTTTCCCCAATGTATGTTCTTGGCACCTTATTCCAAAATAAGTTGGCTGTAAATATGTGGATTTGTTTCTGGGTGTTGTATTCTATGGCCTTTACCCCAAGAATCATTACTTCTTAAAATGCAATTCAAATTAGCATGAAACATTTGCGGTTTAGGGAAAGGCTTATGGCATCAGAATCCTTATTTACAGGATTCATTATTTTGTGTTTTTTGAGATATGGTCTTTGTCTATCATCCAGGCAGAAGTGCAGTGATGTGGTCATAATTCACTGCAGCCCTGAACTCTGGGTACAAGCCATCCTTTTGCCTCAGTCTCCCAACTAGCTGGGTCTACAGGCCTGAGCCACCATGCCTGGCTAATTTTTTAAATTTGTTTTTTTTTGTAGAGATGGGGGTCTCACTATGTTGCTCTGGCTGATCTCAAATTCCTGGCCTCCAGTGATCTTTCTGCCACAGCCTCCTAAAGTGCTGGGATTACAAGCATGGGCCACCATGCCTAGCGTAGAGTATTATATTATTTTCAAAGTCTTATTCTGGGAGCCATTTATTGACTTTGGCCTAAATAACTCAATATGATATCTCTGAAAGGTTTTTTGACAAATTTTGGGGAATGATGATGAGGGAAGAGGGTTAGACACTTTTTACTAAGAGATAACTTAGTGCCATTTAAGGAGGAACAAAAATGAATTATCAGAAAAATAAAAGTAAAAGCAAGTGAAAAAGTTCTGTGGCAAAGATGATGTCAGTAAAGCATATTTTTGTGACTCATGGTAGCTTTAACTTTGTTCTTAAAATTCTGAGTAATTTAAGGGTTCACATTTGAAGAATCTACTACATTATAGATAACATTTTATTGCAAGTGGATGCATTTCAAAATTTGCTATTGGTTTTGTATTAGATTATTCTCAGCCTACTTCATTATCAAGCTCTATTATTTTATTAATGCAGTTTGATGATCTTATGGCCGAGAAGGAAGCTGTATCTTCAAAATGTGTCAATTTGGCCAAAGACAATGAAGTTCTTCATCAGGAGTTATTATCTATGGGAAAAGTACAAGAGAAATGTGAAAAACTTGAGAAGGATAAAAAGATGTTGGAAGAAAAAGTATTAAATCTTAAGACACATATGGAAAAAGATATGGTAGAACTTGGTAAAGTACAAGAATATAAATCGGAGCTGGATGAAAGGGCAATGCAGGCAATAGAAAAATTAGAAGAAATCCATTTACAGGTTAGTTTTTAAAATCAGGTAAGTTTATCTGTAATGGGCTTTCATTTATTTCACTGCAAACTGTATTTTGGATGTGTATATATTGTGTTTCCTCTGCCTCTCTTACGGCAATTTCCTTTGTAGAGCTCTAGAAAAAAGTGACGTTTTTTCCTTTTAAATATTTAAATTTCCATTATTATTATAACAAAATCAATCTTTCAAAGTAATGATTCTCACTATACAGTAAAAGGGGGAATTTGATGATTAAGACCAGTTGGCATAAGAGAAAACTGTGATTTAGAAATTATATGATACTTTTGAATTGGTCTTAAGCTACGTTGTTCATTGTTCACTTTTTAAAATTATAAATGGATTCTATTACTTTTTATAGGACCAGATTACATTAATACTAACATAATTATGATTCCAAATTTTTATAAATCAGACAATTCTGAATTCAGTTATTAGTTTTGTTGATATTGCTGATAAATATTTTAAGCTTCAGCCTCTTTTTAACATATTCAAAATTGCTCTTTGAATCACTGATTCAAAATGAAAGGCAACAAACATATGGTAATTAACTTATAATTGTTTTAAAAGTGTATTCTTTTCATTTGTTTTAGAAACAAGCAGAATATGAAAAACAATTAGAGCAGTTAAACAAGGATAATACGGCTTCACTAAAAAAGAAGGAACTCACACTTAAAGATGTGGAATGTAAATTCTCCAAAATGAAAACAGCTTATGAAGATGTTACAACTGAATTAGAAGAGTATAAGGAAGCCTTTGCAGTAGCATTGAAAGCTAACAGTTCCATGTCAGAAAAAATAACGAAGTAAGTCAAAACATATACTCATAGAAAATGAATTAAACTCATTAATTTGTTTTGAAAGCATAATTTTTAGTGAGATGGCTTCAGGAGATCAGTAGGAAGTGAATGCTAATTTGGTAATGTAATTTTGGAAAATAATGTTAGTAAATAATCCCTCCTTTAAAATGTTCATCAAGGATAGTTTCTGTCTCTCTTCTCTTTTTTTGCTTTTGTGTGGCTTTTTTCCCTGAAAAGTCTCATGTAGTTAACCTGACCAGTTAGTTTTTTTCACTAAGTATTTTTGAAGCTTTATGATAAATAAAGTGATCTTGTTATAAAATTACTTGTCAGAATTTTCCTAAATGGGAATATTAATGAGTTTAATTTATTTTTTGGTAGATCACAACCTGAACCCAAAGTGTCAAGTGATACTGCTACTCTGGGCACATCCTGGCACTCAGGCAGGGACTGTTTTTGAGTGTGATCTTTAGGTGTTATCACTAGAGGGTACCTCAAGAAAAACTATTTGTGTAACATTTTCAAGGTGTTACATAAAGGCATCCTTGTGAAAGAGGGAATAATTATCACAGGAATGAAAAGAAGGGTAATCCACAAGGTGGTTCAAAAATAACACCTTGTTCAGCCTGAAGGGCTGTGTGGAAGGCAGAAAGAACAAGCCCCACCTCCAGTGCCTTGGTCACAGTGTTGAGGGCTAATTGCCTTCAGAGATGCTGTAGTTCTTTTTGATCACCAACCAACCAGTCTAGTTCTCCCCCAGGAGTTGTTGCTCTGAGTTATTCCTCAGTGCCAAATACTTAAGTGTTCTTAGAGAATGGGTGAAATGTACAAGGGTGAAACCTGAAACTGGTTTACTAAACACAAGTATTTCTAGATTATTTTTGTTCATTTTAGTTTCCTTAATCTACATTATTTAAGGAGTACAACATGATGTTTTCATATAATTATTTATAGTGAAGTAGTTCTTATAGTCAAGCAAATTAACATAATCATTTTCCCACATAGTTACCCTTTAAATACAAGTATATCTAAAGGAATCTTTAGAATCTTATAAGTAGAGCTATTTTAGAAGGCAGCTAGGTTACCTGTTGAGCTGTACATCACTGATAGCCATTTCTCTTCCCTGTCTACTTTGAACTGCTTGTTCAGTAGAAATCACCTTAGAAACACATATACTTATTTAGAATGATTTTAAAATTACCGTTACTTACAAGAGGTATGCTCTCACACATCTTCGTGTGAAAACACTGTTTAATGGGTAATTTGGTTTACTCTCAGGGCAACTGTTTAAAAAATGCAAGTCATTAAGAATCATTCAAGGTAAAATGAAATACTAAGCATTTGTCTTTGCTCTCTTTACAGATCGGATAAGAAAATAGCTGTGATCAGCACCAAGCTCTTTATGGAGAAAGAGCGGATGGAATATTTTCTCAGCACTCTTCCTATGAGGCCAGACCCAGAGTTACCTTGTGTTGAAAATCTTAATAGTATAGAACTCAACAGAAAATATATTCCCAAAATGGCCATAAGAATTCCTACTTCAAACCCACAGACTTCAAATAACTGCAAGAACTCCTTGACTGAGGTTAGTTATATGACCATTTCTCTTTTGGGTTTCATTTCTCTAATATAATTCTTGTTTATAATTTGGTGAAATACTGAGTTGTTCTGTTGACTTATGCATGTTAAGTAAAGATTATAATTAGCTGTGTTAACACAGAAAGGAAATGGAAACTTTACATTTTTTAATTCCCTGGAGCTCTCATTTTCAAGAGACACCCATTTGCTAACTTTATTCAATAAATGTGGTTAAACTGACACATTTAAAATTTCTCTAAAAGCTGCATTTGTTAGGTTTTAAAAAATGCATGTTATTGCCTAATAACTGATGGTATACTTTGAAATGCTTTGTCTTACTCTACGTGACTGTAGTTTGTCTGTGGTTCATATCACTTTTTTTTTTTTTTTTTTTTTGAGATGGAGTCTCACTCTGTTGCCTAGGCTAGAGTGCAGTGGCATGATCTCAGCTAATTGCAACCTCCGCCTCCTGGGTTCAAGTGATTCTCTTGCCTCAGCCTCCCAAGTAGCTGGGACTACAGGTGCCTGCCACCACACCTGGCTAATTTTTGTATTTTTAGTAGAGATAGGATTTCACCATATTGGCCAGGCAGGTCTCGAACTGACCTTGTTATCCACCCACAACAGCCTCCCAAAGTGCTGGGATTACAGGGGTGAGCCTCTGTGCCCAGCCCATACTATTTTTAAAGTTTATTTGCACCAACTTAACTCTTTCCACCCATAATCACAAGCGAATGACAGGCAACCAAACACTTAACAACATATAGATATTTATTATTTAATAGAACCCAAAATAAGTGCATTTTATGAATTAAATAAAACACTGAAAGTTCATTTCCATTTTTCTGTTAAAACCTTTGTGCTTGGCCAGGTGTGGTGGCTCACGCCTGTAATCCCAGCATTTTGGGAGGCTGAAGCAGGCAGATCTCCTGAGGACAGGAGTTTGATACCAGCCTGGCCAACATGATGAAACCCCATCTCTACTAAAACTACAAAAATTAGCCAGGTGTTGTGGCAGGCACCTGTAATCCCACATGCAGCAACCCCATTACTATACTAGGGATATACCTAAAGGAAAATAAATCATTGTAACAAAAAGATACATGCACATGTATGTTCATTGCAGCACTATTCACAATAACAAAGACATGGAGTCAATCCAGGTGCACCCAAGGTAGATTGAAAATCCAAGGTAGATTGGAAAATTCCATATATACCAAATACTATGCAGCCATGAAAAGAACAAAATCATGTCCTTTGCAGCAACATGGATACAGCTGGAATCCACTATCCTAAGCAAACTAACGCAGAAACAGAAACCAAATATCTCATTTGCACTCATATGTGGGAGCTACACATTAGGTGCCCATTGACATAAACATGGGAACAATAGACACCAGGAAATAAGAATGGGGAGGGACAGAGTGGGCCAGGGTTGAAAAACTGCTTCTTGGGTCCTATGCTCACTACCTGTGTGATGGGTTCAATTGTACTCCAAACCTCAGCATTCCTCAATATACTTTTGGAAGAAACTTACACAGGTACCACTTTAATTTAGAATACAAACTAGAAAAAAAAAAAGAAAACTTTACTATACATATTTTTTTCAGTAAGTAAAGAATATAAATTTCTTTTTAAGAAAAAATTTATTGAAGTAAAAAATGGATTAAACTTTTATAAAGGACAGACTTTTGCTAAGAATTTCAAAGCAATGCATTCATTGCAAAATATGACTTTAATTGTTTAACCTTTTTTTCTTTTTTTTTTTTTGAGATGGAGTTTCGCTCTGTCACTAGGCTGGAGTGCCGTGGCATGATCTCGGCTCACTGCAACCTCCACCTCCTGGGTTCAAGCCATTTTCCTGCCTCAGCCTCCCGAGTAGCTGGGACTAGAGGCATGCACCACCACACCCAGCTAATTTTTGTATTTTTAGTAGAGATAGGGTTTCATCATGTTGGCCAGGATGGTCGCGATCTCTTGACCTCGTGATCTGCCCACATTTGCCTCCCAAAGTGCTGGGATTACAGGCGTGAGCTGCCATGCCCGGTCATTGTTTAACCTTTGTACTAATAAAACACCACCTTTCTAAAATTATGTATATCCGATAGACCAATATTATCTATTTTTGTCAGATTACTCTAAACAGCATTACACAGATACATCCTCTATTATCTAAACTTAGAATAAGTAGAAATTTTACTTTACTTATGTGATTATTTTTCTATTTAAGCAAACTTCATGTTATGTCTAGTCACTAAAAATACTAAAGGCCACATTTTGTAAGTAATATGTTAATCTCATGATAATGTCTCTTGTTTAACTTAAACATTATTATTATTTTTTTTTTTACTTATTTTAGATGGAGCTGGACTGTGCAGAACAAATAATTACAGAAACAAAGAAAAGTATGTTGCCAAAATGTATTAATTAAATTTAGGTTTATTTTAGTAATAAAGTGTAAATAGCAAATGGCATTCCTTTTCATTGTTGGGTTAGTAGATACTACATTCAGTATCTTTTTCTTACACACATCTAATGAAAGATGTGAAAACAAAAACTTTCACAGTGAAGAGTATACTTATGCATCATTAATTCATCATGTTCCATAGCTTAAAAAATTCCCAAGAAGTGGATCCATCTCTTTTTTACTGATTCTGCAATTTCTTCACTTTTGCCGTCCTCATGGAACTGTCAGCCAGCACACTGAAACGATTCTCCAAAAACAAAAGCATCAATTGGCTTACATCTGTTCTCAGGAAAAGTTCCAGAAATTTCACCATGAAATAAAAACACCCATGTCAATGTAATTCTTGTCAGGTTACTCAGCCTTGTCTCTCACCACTTACTGCATTCTGCCCTTTGCTCTAGCACCAAAGTGGACAGAGTAGAACTCCGCAGGGCTCTTTGTTACCTCAGGATCTTTGCCTTCGCCTCTTCCCTCTTTCTGGCAAGATTTTCCTCATCCTTCAGTCATCAACCTATGTATCCCCTCCACCAGAAAGCCCATGATATTGACACAAAAGTGGGATAGATGTCCCTTCTGTGTGTTCCAGTAGTGCCCCGCTGTATACCTGTCATGATATCTATGACTCTATATGGACATTACCTGCCGGTCTTTTAGGTTATAGCATATGACTATTGGGAGGTGGACCATGCCATCTTCATCTTGTAATTCCAGTGCTGGCTCTAGTACCTTAGCACGTGGCTGTTGAGTGCATGAATGAAGAATGAAAAAGCTGTGATATTTAACCACAATTAGAATTAGTGCCATGTGTAAATGATTTAATAGTAATCTTGTATTGTAATTGCACGTACATATTTCTCATTCTTATTAACTCTGATAATGTTCTCAACTCTACATTTTAAACTTACACTTCGTTAACTGAAATGTTTTAGGTAAAGAACATAATCCTTTCTTTTTCTTTCCAGCTTTTGCTGCGTTGGGCCCTTGCTCCTATCTACTTTCTTCTCTAGAATCCACTGGTAAGCCACATCTAATGAAGAGAATATTTAACCATAAAATCTTAAGGAAAAGTTGTATGATTTAAAAGATCATAAAACTTTATTACTGGGCTATTTACATGAAATTTTAATTGTTTCTCATAAAATATAAAACATCACAATCTTTACTAAAGTAGAATATTTTCATATCATATGATGTATATTTATATGTTATTTTAAATGATTTTTTTAGCCTCCTTAAGTTTTAAGTGGATCTTGCAAATGAACACCAGTGTTATTGAGTTTGACCTACTCAAATTGCCTGAATGTCAGCTGTTTAAACAGCCAAACAACCAAGTCATCATTGATACTGTAGTAAAGGTCATCTTTGCATTTTACACTTTTTATTACCATATATAGTAGGAGACTTAAAGAGTATCTGCCAGGTTTGTCCATACTAGTGTTATGATTTTCTTTTTGTAGTTCAATAGTATTTTGTGTGGAGATACTTTGAAGCTCTGTAAATATCTGGTTACTCCTCAAAACCCACTAGATTTAGCATTTCATGGATGACTTGTGTTTGAACAAGTATTACTGTGATGGTTGCCAGATGATTATTTTTCTTATTTTCTTCTTTGTTCTACATGGAGAAATAAAACCAATAAATAAAGGAGAAGGGAAAGTCATGATTCTGGTGCTCCAGTTCCCAAAGATTAGGCCAGTGGTAGACATTTCAAGCTGACTTTATGTCTTTTTGATTTGTCCCCATTACTCTGTCAGCACTTTTTTACTTTCTGGCACAAGGTGTTCTAAACTAATGTTGTATTTTCTCTGCGGCAACCCTAGAATGAGTAATTTTTCTTAAAAGCAGAGTTGGAGCCACCGAGGAAGCACAGGCGAGCTCTTCCCATCATGCGCTCACTAGTCCCCAACAGAAGAACCACTGTCGCATCCACTGAGGTACCAAGAAACTAGCAAAGGGCCTTCTAGCTGTCTGGGGACAGTCCTCATGTGGTCCCTGGCTCAGCCTCAAGGGTTCTTGATTAGTCTCTCTGCAGCCTCTGTGCTGTGTCTCTAGATCGGGGCTCTGTGGGAAGGGCCCTGGGAGACCCAGCAGCACAGGGTGTCTTGTCTGCCAAATGTCCCTCCCTTCCTCCCACTCTGACACTCAGGAATAGGGAAGATGGCATGTCCAGGCAGTGCCAGGCCACCTCATTGTCTCCTTTCAGATGGGCCCAGAGGGCCTTGCGGGGTGAGTGTGAAGCTGGGTACCTGGAGCCTGAGGCTGACTCCCTCCCTGTGTCTTGGAGGAGAGGCCTTGCAGCCCAAGAAAACCCCCCGGGCCTGACCCCTGGGCACACATGCAGGGAGGGAGGGTCTGTGGGCTGATGGCAGCATTGTAATGAGACTTTGAACACAGCTGCTCAAGGGCCTCATCAGTGGACCATGGTCAGAGATGACCTAGCCATCAGGACCTGGCCAGTTGGGACCTGATCAGCAGGGACCTGGTTAGCGGTGGCCTCCTCAGTGAAGGCCTCACCCAGTGGGTACCTTGTGACCTAGTCATCGGAAGCCTAGTCAGTGGGGACCTGGTCAGTGGTGGCCTTATTAGTGGGGCCTGATCGGTTGGAACATAAACAATAAAAAACTGGTCGGTGGGGTGTATTCAGTATATTAGGGGTCTGGTCAGTGTGGGGCCTTAGTGGCTTGGAGCCTGGTCAGTGAGAGCCTGGTCAGAGGGGGCTCAGTCGGCTGGGGACTGATCCATGGAGAATTATTCAGTGGGGGTGAGGTGAGCAGCAACCTGGTAAATTGTGGTCTTGTCAGTGGGAACCCAGTCAGTGGGGACCAGGTCAGTGGGAAATTGGTCAGTGGGGTCTGGTCCATGAGGCCTACTAATGGGGGCCTGGTTACGGAGACATGGTCCGTGGGGACTTGGTCAGTGGGGCCTGGTCAATGGAGGAGTGCTCATTAGGGGCCTCGTTGGGGGCACCTGGTCAGTAGGAACCTGGCCAGTTAGCCGATGTGTGACCTCAGGCAGGGGTTTTTTCTGTGGAGTCTCCTTGCCTCCATCTGTAGGGAAGGTGAGTCAGGGCACCCTGGAGGGTGCCTGGAAAGGGAACGTGAGAAGATGTATTGAATTCAGCACTGCTTGGGAGACCTCCAACTTTACACACGACCTGGGTTCCACCTAGAGAGGGTGCCAGCCCTCTCTGCTCTGCTCGGCGCCCCTCCTCTGTCTGCATCCCTAGGACCACCCTTGGTGGAGAGGGCAGAAATTGGGGAGCACCTGTGGGAGGCTCTAATCCTGGCCCTGGGCCCTGGTGGTGACAGTGATGAGGACCTGGGTGCACCTGTGAGTGGAGCAGCTAGGCCTGGCCAGAGAAGCAAGACAAACAAACACACCCATATGTACAGACACACACAAACACATGCATACACAAACACAATGCATGCACACATGTCAGTTCAGGGGATAGAGGACACTGACTCTGGGCCCTCTTGACCCAAGCAGGCTCCTGTTGTGGTGGGTTGTGTCATCCCACGATGTCACTCTTGCTGAGTCCCCATCGCCTCTGTGTTTTGGAGCAGTTAGAGACACACAGCAGTCTCTGTGAGTGGCTCTGCGTGAAGGATTGTTTTCTAGGTGAGATGCACATCTCAACACAGCTGACTGCTCAGACTCAGGTGAGTGGGACCTGCTCTCTTCTCTTCCTCCTGGCTTGGGGACAGTCACTATCAAGTGGGTGGTTTTGGCCTCTGGGCAGCTACTGAGGGTAATACCTGAGCACTCACCGGGTGCCTGTTCTGTGCTGACAGTCATCTCATTCATCCTTGCAGCAATTCCATTCTGCATCTCCTCTGGACACCCCCAGGACCACCAGGACAACCCCATCATGGCCCTGTCACCAGGCCCAGTCTGGCTCCATGATAACCAAGATGCAGGTCCAGAGACAACCGCCCTACTTGGTGCCTGCATCTGACCCCCCTTGGTGGGTAGTGACCAGCCCAACATGGAAGAAGCCAGGGCAGCATGCAGCCAGCTGCCCTGCAGCCCCAGATGGCACCTGGGCCTTGGGAAGTCATTCTCAAAGGGGAAGCTGGAAACTTTGATGTCCCTGGAGGGAAGGGTGAACGTGGCATCTGAACAACCCTGGCAGCCAGCAGCATCTTCTCATCCAACCTGTGGGACAGAGGCCCCCTGCTTGGGAATGAGATCCATACCTAAAGGGTCCTGGCCCAGTCAGGCCTCATCCTGGGCCCTGGGAGGGGAGGGGCACTATGGGCCCCCCAGCAGCAGTCAGCATTACCACCCAGGGAACTCAGCCTTCTGTGGCCCTGGCCAGAGTTAGAATTTGGCCCAAGACAGGACAAGCTCACTCAGAGCAGGGTGTCAGTACCCAGGACCTGTGCATGCCAGGCAAGGCCAAGCTGGCTCAAAGAGCAACCAGCCACCTCTGCAAGGGTGTGCCTGGAGCAGATGGACCAGCCACCAGCCTCACCCACTCAAGGAATCAGGGGTGGCCAGGTTCCCACAGCCTGAGGGGCTGCCACTTGACGGCTGATGGAGTGGAGGCCTGAGGAAAAGCAGATGGCACTGGGGCCCTACCTCCAGGGCAGAATAACTGATTTACCCTGACTGGCAGCGAGTGAGGTTGGTGGCTGGTCCACCTGCTCCTGGCACACCCTTGCAGAGGTGGCTGGTTGCTCTTTGAGCCAGCTTGGCCTTGCCTGGCATGCACAGGCCTCAATGCAACCACTGTGCTGCAGATGGAGCCACATAGAGGAAATGAGCAGCAGGCTCAGGAGCAGGGTGTGCACTGCCTTTGGGGCTCCAGTCCATGCATGAGGGCTCCTACAGAACTGTGGGCTTCTTGGGTGCCAAGAGGCAGACCACAGGCCATCTTGAGAAGGACTCCGTGTTCAAGTGCAGAAAGGGCCCAATCTGGTAGATGAACCACACAGCCAGCTTTTGGGTGCAGGCACAGTGCCACATCTTCCATCACTTCCTGATGTGTCACACCAGCACTGAAGAGACAGCCTGGAGACAGGGCAAGAGGAAGGCTGAGAAGGATGAGGTGGTGAATTCCAGCTTCTTCCTGACCCTGAGCCCACCCCCAAGGTGGCCCTCAACCTTTAAGAGTGGGAGAGCAAAATTGATGGCTTCGAGTGCTTCACCAAGAAGATAGAAACACAGGGCACTCAGCTCAACTTCTCAGCCAATGAGTTGACATGCAAGCAGATTATGGTGATGGGTTTTAAGAAGGAGCATCAGAAGGTGGCCAGTTCTTCAGCCTCAGCCAGGTCTTGGAGCTGGGCCAGGCCATCACTTCACCAGAGATGCCTTCAACACCGTTGGTGAGCTCTGCCAATCAGCCCATCCAGGAACTGGACCCAGTCATGGACCTGTTAGTGCTGTCTCAGGGACACCAGGTCAACATCCCGGACATCATCCACATACACAAGGAAGCTCTTACCAAAGTCATGGAGAGCAGGCAACATGTGGCAGAAGGGAAGACAGAGGTGCAGAGGCTGATGATGTCAGAATCACAGGAACAGGATTTCTTTGGACACTGTGGCTGAAATTCACCACTTCCATCCAATTCCGGTGAGAAACATGGACTCACAGATGCAGGATTTCTTGCAACAAGAGATACTATTTTTTCAAAAGGTCACCCAGGAATTGATAGTGTTGAATGACTAGATACTCGATTGTGCACTGTTTCCAGTTCAAGGATGCTTTCTACAGCAGAATAATAACACTAGCAAAGAGCTAGTGCCAGGTATTGGCGGTAGTACAAGGATGGCTTTGTTCTCAATTGAAACTCAGCTGAATATAGAATTGTGTAGGAAACAGTTAATATGGCGATAGAATAGAAACAGTAGCAAACATGACCTAAACCATGCTATGAATTCCTACACTACCATTGTAACTTTTGGAAGAATGATACCACTTACTTTATTGCTTTTTGAAGTATGAATATTTTCATGTATATGCTGTAGACCTCAAACCCTGTGAAGAGTCTCAAAGAAGCTGGCTGGATAAAGCCTGAGTGACTTCTCATGAGACCTGGTCATTGAAAACTCTATGTCACCTCCCTACTCTGCATGTTTTCCTCTTGCCGTGTGAGACAACTCACTCTTTCTTTGCCTTGCACAAAGATTGAAAGATTTCTGAGGCCTACCAGAAGCAGAAGCCCTGTGCTTCCTGTCCACCCTGCAGAACCATGAGCCAATTAAACCTCTTTTTCATAATGAATCATACAGAAAATGGCAAATGAGGACTGGAGCATTGCTATAAAGATACCTGAAAATGTGGAAGCAGCTTTGGAACTAGGTAATGGACAGAGGTTGGAAGAGTTTGGAGGGCTCAAAAGAAGACAGATGAGAAAGTTTGGACCATCTTAGAGACTGGTTAAATGGTTGTGACCAAAATCCTGACAGAAACATGGACAGTGAAGGCTAGGCTGAGGAGGTCTCAGATAGAAATAAGAAGCTTTCTGGAAAATGTCTTCCTTTTGGATATGGAAAGCTTACACAATGCCTGTACCACCCCTGTACCTTAGAAGCAGTGATCTTGCATTTTATTTCAGAGGCTTATAGGCAAAAGAGGCTGCAGCCTTGACTCAGATGAGACTTTGGACTTTGTAACATTGTGTTAATGCTGAAATGAGTTAAGACTCATGCTGGGAAGGCATGATTGTATTTTGCAATGTGAAAAGGACAAGAGATTCGTGGGGTCAGGGACAGAATAATATGGTTTGTCTCTATATCCCTATCAAAACCCGTGTGGAATTATACTCCCTAACGTTAGAGGTGGGGCCTAGGTGGAAAAAGATTTAGTCATAAAATGGTGCAGGTAGATCCTCCACGAATGATAAAGCACCATCCCCTTGATGCTGTCCTCCTGATAGTGAGTGAGTTTTCATGTGATCTGGTTGTTTAACAGGCTGTGGAACCTCTTTCCTCACTCTGTCTTCCTCCTACTCCTGCCATAGGAGACAGCTGATTGTCCCTTGGCCTTCTGGTATAATTAGGAGGCTCCCTGACTCCTCCCAGAAACAAAAGACACTATGCTTCCTTCACAGCCTGCAGAACCCTGAGTCAATGAAACCTCTTTTATTTAGGATAATACAGAAAATTAGAACTGCAGAGAGGAGCTGTGAAATGTCTTCAAGGCCTTTTTCCATTTGTCTTGGCCATTAGCACAGGGCTTCTTTATATGCAAATTTCTGAAGTCTTCTTGAATGTTCCCCCTTAAATCGGGTTTTGTGTTATTACTACATAGCCAACCTGCTATAGAGATACCTGAAAAAGTAGAAGCAGGTTCAGAAGTGGGTAACAAACAAAGATTGGGAGGGTTTGCAGGGATTGGAAAATGACAAAAAGATGAGGGCCTGGTGGGAGTGATTTAATCACGGATGGGAGGCGGGTGGGGTGGAAGGAAAAAGAGGTGGGCAGGGTGGGGAGGAGTAGGCTGGTGTAGGGTGGTGGAAGGGTGGGGTGTAGTGGGAGTGGGGAGTCGCCTGCTGCAGAGGCACAGCCTCATGGACAACCTCTACTAGGGCAGTGCACCTGTGGCTTTGCAAGTTTTAGCCCCCACGGCTGCTCTCATGGACTGGGCTACTGTTGAGTGCCTGTAGCTTTTCCACAGTGGGGGTGCAAGCTGTTGGTGGGTCTATGAATCTGGCTCTGCCTCTGCAGCAGGCTTCTGCCTGGAAACAGTGGGAGGTGGAGGTGGGGGTTGCGGGGGCAGATCCTTCACCAGTGGTTAAGCACCATCTTCTTGATGCTGACCTTGTGATACTGAGTTCTCATGAGATCTGGTTGTATAACAGGGCGGGCTCCTCTTTCCTCTCTCAGTCTTGCTTCTACTGCTGCCACATGAAGCATTTCCTTGCCCCTTGGCCTTCTGGTATGATTGGGAGGCTTCCTGAGTCCTCCCGGAAGCAGAAGCCACTATGCTTCCTTTACAGCCTGCAGAACCGTGAGCCAATTACACCTCTTTCTTTATGATTGTACACAAAATTAGTGCTGTGAAGTGGAGCTATGAAATGCCTTCAAGGCCTTTTCCCCATTGTGTTGGTAACCAGTACTCAGCTTCTTTTCATGAAGATATCTGAAGCCTTTGTGAATTTTTCCCCTGAAAATGGACTTTTCTTGTTTTACCACATTACCAGGCTGTGACAAAGATATCTGAGAATGTAGAAGCAGGTTCAGAAGTGGGTAAAAAAGAGAGGTCAGAAGAGTTGGGAACACTTAGAAGACAGCATGATGAGGAAAATTTTGGACCACTGAAAATAATTGTTAAATACTTGTGATCAGAAGGACAGAAAGATGGACAGTGAAGGCCAGAATTAAAAGGTCTCAGATGAAAATGAGGAACATCTTGTGAACAAGAGCCAAGGTTACATTTGATTGGCCTTAGCCCTGGAGAGCTCTGAAACTGTGAACATGGGAGTAACGATTTAGGATGTATCTGGTGGAATGAGCATCTAGGCAGCATAGCTCAAGAGGTGTCCTCTCTACATCCAACAGCCTGTGTTCTTATGTGTGACCTGAGAAATTACCTCAAGCTGCAACTTCTATTTAAATGAGAAGTAGACCTCAAAAATTTGAAAAGTTTGCAGCCTAGCCAAGTGGTCAAAAAGGAAAGCTGATTTTCAGGGGGAAAATTCAAGAGCACTTAAAGTATTTGCATAAAAAAAGAGCCCAGTGCAAATAGCCAAGACTATGGGGAAAAGGCCTTGAAGGCATTTCAGAGACCTTTGCAGCAGCCCTTGCTGTCATAGGCCCTGGGGACAAGGAGAGAATTGTTTCCTGGGCCAGCTCCATGGCCTGGCTGCTGTGTGCATCCTCAGGACACTGCTGCCTGCATCCCTGCAGATCCGGCTCCAGCCATGGCTGAAAGATGCACAGGTACAGCTTGGGTCACTGCTTCAGAGGTGGCTCCAAGCCTTGATGGCTTCCACATAGTGTTAAGCCAGGAGGTGCACAGAGCAAGAGACTAGAGGCTTGGGAGCCTCTGTCTAGACTCCAGAGGATGTACAGAAAAGCCTGGGTGTCCAGGCAGAAGCCTTTCCAAGAGGCAGAGCCTCATGGGAAACCTTTACTAGGGCAGGAAAGAAGGGATGTATCAGGTTGAAGCCCTCACACAGGGAGGCACCATCCTTCAAACCCCAGATTCATAGACCCACCAACAGCTTGCCCCCTCAATGTGGGAAAGCTACAGACACTCAACACCAGCCCCATCCATGAGGGCAGCTGCGGGGACTGATCACTGCAAACCCACAGGTGGAGATCTGCCCAAAGCCTTTGGAGTCCAGCCCTCACACTCCTGTGCCATGGATGTGGGACAAGGATTCCAAAAGGATGATTTTGGAGCTGTAGGATTGAATGACTGGCCTACTGCGTTTTGGACATTCATGTATCCTGTGAGTCCCATCGGTGTTTTGTTTTTGTTTCTGGCAATTTTTCTTCTGTTGGCTGGGAGTGCTTACCCATTGCCTGTACAATCATTGTACCTTGGAAGTAGTTAACTTGCTTTATAATTCAGAGACTTATGGGCAGAAGGGACTGTATCCTTGTCTCAGATGAAACTTTGGGCTTTACACATCTGAGTAAATGCTGGAATGAGTTAAGATTTGGGGGACTGTAGGAGAGGCATCATTGTATTTTGCAATGTGAGAAAGACAGATTTGCAGGGGCAGGGACAGAAGAATATGATCTGGCTCTGTGTCCCACTGATGTGGAATTGTAATGGGAAATGTTAAAGGTGGGGGACAGGTGGAAGGTGATTTAATCGTGGTGGAGAGTGGAGGTTGGAAGGTGGGGGTGGTGGGGCGAAATGGGGAAAATTGTGGTGGGGTTGGGGGTGAAAGGCGGGTGGGGGGCAGATCCTTCACAAATGGTTAAACACAATCTCCTTAATACTGTCCTTGTGATAGTTCTCTTCATGATTTTGTGGTGGTGAGATTGAATGAATACTGTTCTGCTGGGTTTTGGATGTGCATTGGGCCTCTGGTCCCATTTGTGTTATTTTTCTGGGAAATTTCTTCCCCTTGGATTAAGACAGCTTACCCAATACCTGTGTCATCATTGTACCTTTAAAGAAATGAACTCCATTTTAACTTCAGAGACTCATAGGCATAAGAGACTGTAGCCTTGTCTCGGATGAGACTTTGAACTTTTTATATTTGAGTTAATGCTGGAATGAGTTAAGGATTTTGGAAACTTTTGAAAAGGCATGATTGTATTTTACCCTGTGAGAAGGACATGAGATTTGGAAGGGTCAAGTTCGGAATACTATGGTTTGGCTGTGTTTCCCTAGAAAAACTCTGTGGAAGTGTAATCCTGAATTTTGGAGGTGAAGCCTGGTGGGAGGTGATTTAATCCTGGATGGGAGGAGGGTGGGGGTGTAAGGAAAAAGGGGCGGGGAGGGTGGGGAGGAATAGGCTGGCCATAGGGTGGTGGGTAGTAGGAAGGGGGAGTAGCCTGCTGCAGAGGCAGAGGCTCATGGAAAACCTCTACTAGGACAGTGCACCTGTGGCTTTGCAGGCTTTAGCCCCGTGGCTGCTCTCATGGGCTTGGCTGTTGTTTAGTGCCTGTACCTTTTCCATACTGAGAGTATGAGCTGTTGTTGGGTCTATGAATCTGGGGTCTGGAGGATGGTGGCCTCCTGCATAGGGGCTCCAAGCCCATATTTTCCTTCTGCATATTTCCTTCCAAGCCCATATTTTCCAAGAGGCTCTGCCTCTGCAGCAGGCTTCTGCCTGGAAACAGTGGGGGGTGGAAGTGTGTTGGGGGGTGGATCTTTCACCAATGATTAAGCACCATCTTCTTGATGCTGACCTTGTGATACTGAGTTCTCAAGAGATCTGGTTGTATAACAGTCTGTGACACCTCTTTCCTCTCTCTGTCTTGCTCCTACTCTGGCCATATGCAACATTTTATTGCTGCTTGTCCTTCTGGTATAATTGAGAGGCCTCCTGAGTCCTCCCAGAAACAGAAGTTACTATGCTTTCTTTACAGCCTACTGCAGAACTATAAGCCAATTAAACCCCTTTTTGTTATGATCTTACAGAAAATTACTATGCGAATTGAAGCTATTAAATGTCTTCAATGACTTTTCCCCATCACATTGGCTATTAATACTGGTCTTCCTTTTAATGCAAATATCTGAAGCCTTCTTGAAGTTTGCCCCTGAAAATGGACTTTTTTTCCTTCTACATTGCCAGGTTGTGACAAAGATAGCTGAAAATATAAAAGCAGGTTCAGAAGTGGCTAACAGCCAGAGGTCGGAGAGTTTGGAGGACTTGGAAGAAGACAGGAAGATGAAGGAAAGTTTGGACCATTGTAGAGACTTGTTAAATACTTGTGATTAAAATGCTGACAGAAGGAGGGACAGTGAAGGCCAGGCTTATGAGGTCTCAGATGAAAATGAGGAACTTACTGGGAACAGGAGCCAAGGTTACTTTTGTTTTGCTGTAACAAAGAACGTGGCTGCAGGGTGACCTTGCCCTGGAGATGTGTGAAACTTTAAACTTGAGGTTGATGATTCAGGGCATATCTGGTGGAATGAACATCTAGGCAGCAAATCTCAAGACGTGCCCTCTCTATGTCAAACAGCCTGTGCCCTTATGTGTGACCAAGGAAATGACCTCAAGTTGCAACTTATATTTAAATGACAAGCAGAGCTCAAAAGTTTGTAACATTTGCAGCCTGGCCAAATGGTCAAAACAAAAGCTGATTTTCAGAGGGAAAATTCATGATGGCTTTAAAAATTTGCATGAAATGAAGGCCAGTGCTAATAGCCAACGCAATGGGGGAGAAAGCCTTGGAGGCATTTCAGAGATGTTTGCAGTAGCCCTTTCTGTCACAGGCCCTGGGACCTAGGAGAAAGAATGGTTTCCTGGGCCATCCCCATGGCTCTGCTGCTGTGTGCAGCCTCAGGATACTGCTGCCTGCATCCCTGCAGCTCCAGCTCCAGCCTTGTCTCAAAGACGCACAGGTACAGCTTGGGACACCGCTTCAGAAGGTGCAAGCTATAAGCCTTGGTGGCTTCCACACAGTGTTAAGCCAGTGGGTGCACAGAGCACTAGTTCAGAGGCTTGAGATCCTCCATATATATTTTGGAAGATATATAAAAGTGCTTGGGTGTCCAGACAGAAGGCTGCCAAAAAGGCAGAGCCTCATGGGAAACCTCTACTAGGGCAGTGCAGAAGGAAAATATGGGGTTGGAGCCCCCACACTGGAGGCCACCATCATGAAGACCCCAGATTCATAGACCCACCAAGAGCTTTGCACCCTCCATGGGTTAAGAACCCCAGGCACTCAACACCAGCACAGCCCATGAGGGCAGCTGCACAGGCTGAACACTGCAAAGCCACAGATGAGCTGCCCAAGGCCTTGGGAGCCCAGCCCTCACGCCCTTGTGCCCTGGATGTGGGACAAGGATTAAAAAAGGATGACTTTTGAGCTGTGGGTTTGAATAACTGGCCTGCTGGGTTTTGGACTTTTCATGGAGCCTGTAAGTCCCATTTGTGTTTTGTTCTCTCAGGCAAAAATCTTCCTTTTGGCTGGGAAATCTTAATGCCTGGACAATCATTGTACCTTGGAAGTAGTTAACTTGTTTGTATTTCAGAGGCTCAGGGGCAGAAGAGACTGCCTTGTCTCAGATGAGACTTTGGGCTTTGGACATTTGAGTAAATGCTGGAATGAGTTAAGACCTTGTGGGATTGTAGGTAAGGCATCATTGTATTTTGCAAAGTGAGAA
This sequence comes from Homo sapiens, assembly GCF_000001405.40. NCBI lineage: Eukaryota > Metazoa > Chordata > Mammalia > Primates > Hominidae > Homo > Homo sapiens. Next base: position 33,584,104 of record NC_000009.12, read on the forward strand.
GTACATGAGATTGGGGGAGGCAGGGACACAATAAGATTTGGCTGTGTGTCCCTACAGAAACTCATTTGGAATTGTAATTGGAAATGCTAAAAGTGGGGCCAGGTGGAAGGTGATTTAATCATGGAGGGCAGTGGGGGTTGGAAGGTGGGGATTGGGGAGGATGGGGGGATTATGGTGGGGGTGAGGGGTGAAAGGTGGGTGTTGGGGAGGATCCCTCACAAATGGTTAAACACCGTCTCCTTAATGCTTTCCTCATGATGGTGAGTTCTCGTGATGATTCTGGAGCTGTAAGATTGAATAGATACTGTCCTGCTTGGTTTTGGACTTGTACTGGGCCTGTGATCCCATTTGTGTTACTTTCCTGACAAATATCTTGCCTTTGGATTGAGAAAATTTACCCAATGCCTGTACCATCATCGTACCTTGAAAAAAAGAACTCCCTTTTAAATTCAGGGACTCATAGGCAAAAGGGACTGTAGACTTTTCTCAGATGAGATGTTGAACCTTTTACATTTGTGTTAATGCTGGAATGAGTTAAGGCTTTTGGCAACTTTTGAAAAGGCAAGATTGTATTTTACTCGCTGAGAAGGATATGATATTCGGGGGATCAGGGTCAGAATAATATGGTTTGGCTGTGTGTCTCTACCAAAACACATGGGAAATTGTAATTCCAAATGTTGCAGGTATGGCCTGGTGGGAGGTGATTTATTCCTGTACTTGAGAGGGGTGGAGTTGGAAGTAAACAGAAGTGGGTAAGGTCAGAGGAGTAGGTTGGCTGTAGGGTGGTGTGAGGGTGGTGGGTAGTAGGAAGTGGGAGTAGCCTGCTACAGAGGCAGAGGCTCATGGAAAACCTCTACTAGGGCAGTGCACCTGTGGCTTTGCAGGCTTTAGCCCCCATGGCTGCTCTCATGGACTGGGCTGGTGTTGAGTGCCTGTAGCTTTTCCATACTGAGGGTGGGAGCTTTAGGTGGGTCTATGACTCTAGGGTCTGGAGGATGGTGGTATCCTGCGTGGGGGCTCCAAACCCATATTTTCCTTCTGCACTGCCCTAGTAGAGATTTTCCAAGAGGCTCTGCCTCTGCCTCAGACTTCTGCTTGGAAACACTGGGGGGTGGATGTGGGGTATTGGGTGGATCCTTCACCAATAGTTAAGCACCATCTTCTTGATGCTGATCTCCTGATACTGAGTTCTCTCGAGATCTGGTTGTATAACAGGATGTGGCATCTTTCCTCTGTCTTGCTTCTACTCCTGGAATATGAAACATTTCATTGCTGCTTGGCCTTCTGGTATAAATGGGAGGCTTCCTGAGTCCTCCTAAAAGCAGAAACCACTATGCTTTCATTACAGCCTCCAGAACTGTGAGTCAATTCAACCTCTTTTCTTTATGTACATGCAGAAAATCAATGCTGTGAAGTGAAGCTATGAAATGCCTTCAAGGCCTTTTCCCCAATCTTTTGGCTGTTAGCACTGGGCTTCTTTGATGCTAATATCTGAAGCCTTCTTGAAGTTTTCCCCTGATAATGGACTTTTCTTCTTTTACCACATTGCCAGGCTGTGACAAAGATAGCTGAAAATGTAGAAGCAGGTTCAGAATTCAGTAATGGCCAGAGGTTAGAGCGTTTGGAGAGCTTGGAAGAAGACAGGAAGATGAGGGAAAGTTTGGACCATTGTAATGACTTGTTAGTTGTGATTAAAAGGCTGACAGAAGGATGGACAGTGAAGGCCAGGCTTAGAAGGTCTCAGATGAAAATGAGAAACTTACTGGGAACAGGGGCCAAGGTTTTGTTGTTTTGCCTTAGCAAAGAATTTGGCTGCACAGTGTCCCTGCTCTGGAGATCTGGGAAACTTTGAACTTGAGGGTGAAGATTTAGGGTCTATCTGGTGGAATGAACTTCTAAGCAGCAAAGCTCAAGAGTTGTCCTGCCTACGTCGAACAGCCTGTGGTATTATGTGTGACCAAAGAAATGACCTTGAGTTGAAACTTATATTTAAATGAGAAGCAGAGCTTAATCCTTTGGAAAATTTGCAACCTGGCAAAGTGGTCAAAAAGAAAAGCTGAATTTCAGGGAGAAAATTCCAGAAGCCTTTGGATATTTGCATAAAAAAGGAGCCCAGTGCTAATAATTCAAGACAATGGGAAAAAAGGCCTCGAAGGCATTTCAAAGACCTTTGTAGCAGCCCTTGTTGTCACTGGCCCTGGGGCTTAGGAAAAAAGAATGTTTTTTCTGGGCCAGCCCTATGGCCCCACTGCTATGTGCAGCCTCAGGACACTGCTGCCTGCACCCCTACACCTTCATCTCCAGCTCCAGCCATGGCTGAAAGATGCACAGGTACAGCTTGGGTCACTGCTTCAGGGGTGCAAGCTCCAAGTCTTTGTGGCTTCCACATAGTGTTAAGCCAGCAGGTGCACACAGCACAAAACTAGAGGCTTGGGAGCCTTTGTCTAGACTCCAGAACATGTATGGGAAAGCCTGGGTGTCCAGGCAGAAGCTTTTCCAACAGGCAGAGCCTCATGGTAAACCTCTACTCGGGCATTGCAGAACAAGCATATAGGGTTGGAGCCCCCATACAGGGAGGTGCCATTTTCCAGACCCCAGATTCATAGACCCAGCAACAGCTTGCACTCTTAGTGTTGAAAAGCTGTTGGCACTCAACAGCAGCCCAGCCATTGAGGGCAGCTTTGGGGAAAGACCCTGCCATGCCACAGGTGCTGAGCTGCCCAAAGCCTTGGGAGCCCAGCCATCTCACCACCCTGTGGTCTGGATGTGAGACGTAGTTTCAAAAAAGATTATTTGGAGCTGTAGGATAGAATGAATGGCCTGCTAGGTTTTTGACTTGCATGGAGTCTGTAAGTCCCATCTGTGTTTTGCACTTCTTTCTGGCAAATTTCTTCTTTTTGTCTGGGAATGCTTACCCAATGCCTGGACAAGCATTATACCTTGGAAGTAGTTAACTTGCTTTGTATTTCAGAGGCTCAGGGATAGAAGGGACTGTAGCCTTGTCTCAGATGAGACTTTGGGCTTTGGACATTTGAGTAAATGCTGGGATGAGTTAAGACTTTGTGGGGCTGTAGAGAAGGCATCATTGTATCTTGCAGTGTGAGAAGGACATGAGATTTGGGGGGCCAGGGGCAGAATAATATGATTTGGCTCTGTGCCTCTACCAAAACTCATGTGTAATTGTAATGGGGAATGTTAAAGCTGGGGCTTGGTGGAAGGTGATTTATTCATGGTGGACAGTGGGAGTTGGAAGTGTGGGTGTGAGAAGAATGGGGGTTCATGGTGGGGGTGGTCGTGAAACATGGAGACAGGGGCAGATCCTTCACAAATGGTTAAACACTATCTCCTTAATCCTGTCTGTGTGATAGTGAGTTCTCATGATAAATGAATACTCTCCTGCTGGCTTCTGGGCTTGCATTGGGCCTGTGTCCCAATTGTGTTATTTTTCTGGGAAAATCTTCCCTTTGGATTGAGAAAGCTTACCCATCACTGTAACTTGAAAGTAACTTGAAAGAAAAGAACGCCCATTTCCCTTCAGGGACTCATAGGCAGAAGGGACTGCAGCATTGTCCTGGATGAAGCTTGAACTTATTACATTTGAGTTACTGCTGGAATGAGTTAAGACTTTTGGAAACTTTTCAAAAGGCACGTTTGTATTTTGCTCTGTGAGAAGGACATGAGATTAGGGGGTCTCAGGGTCAGAATAAAATGGTTTGGCTGTGTTTACCTACAAAAACTCATGGGGAATTGTGCTCCCGAATGTTGGAAGTGCAGCCTGGTGGGAGGTGATTGAACCATAAATGGGAGATTGGTGGGGGTGGAAGGAAAAACAAGTGTGTAGGGTCGGGAGGTGTAGGCTGGCAGTAGGGTGGTGGGAGGGTGGTGGGTAGTAGGAAGGGGGAGTAGCCTCCTGCAGAGGCAGAGGCTCATGGAAAACCTCTACTAGGAAGTGCACCTGTGGCTTTGCAGGATTTAGCCCCATGGCTGCTCTCATGGGCTGGCCTGTTCTTGTGTGCCTGTAGCTTTTCCACACTGAGAATGTGAGGTGTTGGTGGGTCTATGAATCTGGGGTCTGGAGGATGGTGGCCTCCTGCATGGGGGCTCCAAGCCCATATTTTCCTTCTGCACTGCCCTCGTAAGGTTTTGCAAGAGGCTCTGCCTCTGCAACAGGCTTCTGCCTGGAAACAGTGGGGGGTGGGGGGGTGGTAGGGGGTGGATCTTTCACCAATGGTTAAACACCATCTTCTTGATGCTGACCTTGTGATACTGAGTTCCAATGAGATCTCATTGTATAACGGTGTGGAACCTTCTCCTCTCTCTGTCTTGCTCCTACTTCTGCCATATAAAATAGCCCATTGCTGCTTGGTCTTCTGGTATGATTGGGAGGCTTCCTGATTCCTCCTAGGAGCAGGAGCCTCTATGATTCCTTTAAAGCCTGCAGAGCCATGAGCCAGTTCAACATCTTTTCTTTATGATCTTACAGAAAATTAGTGCTCTGAAGTGGAGGTATGAAATGCCTTCAAGGTCTTTTCCTTCTTGTCTTGGTAATCAGCTCTCAGCTTCTTTTCATGCAAATATCTGTAGCCTGCATGAATTTTCCCCCCGTAAATGGACTTTTCTTCTTTTACCACACTGACAGGCTGCAACAAAGAGAGCTGAAAATGTAGAAGCAGGTTGAGAATTGTGTAACAGCCAGAGGTTGGAGAGTTTGGAGGACTTGGAAGAAGACAGGAAGATGAGGGAAAGTCTGGACCATTGTAGAGACTTGTTAAATAGTTATAATTAAAAGGGTGACAGAAGGATGGACAGTAAAGGCCAGGCTTAGAAGGTCTCAGATGAAAATGACGAGTTTACTGGGAACAGGAGCCAAGGTTACATTTGTTTTGCTTTAGCAAAGAATGTCACTGCATGATGCCCCTAACCTGGAGATCTGTGAAACTTTGAACTTGAGGGTGATGTTTCGGGTGTATCCAGCAGAATGAACTTTTGGCAGCAAAGCTCAAGAGGTGTCCTGTCTGTGTCCTGGTCTTCTGTGTGACCAAATAAATGACCTCAGTTAGAAACATATTTAAATGAGAAGCAGAGCTTAAAAGTTTGAAAAATTTGCAGCCTGGTCAAGTGGTCAAAAAGAAAAGCTGATTTTCAGTGGGAAAATTCAAGACAGCTTCAGAAGCTTGCATAAAATGGAGCCCAGTGCTAATAGCCAAGACAACAGGGAAAAGGCCTTGAAGGCATTTCAGAGACCTTTGCAGCAGCCCTTGCTGTACAGGCCCTGAAGCCTAGGACAGAAGAATGGTTTTCTAGGACAGAATGGTTTCCTGGCCCAGCCCCATGGTCCCCTGCTGTGTGTAGCCTCAGGACACTGCTGCCTACATCCCTGTAGCTCCTGCTGCAGCCATGGCTGAAAGATGCACAGGTACAGCTTGGGTCACTGCTTCAGGGGTGCAAGCTCCAAGCCTTGGTGGCTTCCACATAGTGTTAAGTCAGCAGGTGCACAGAGCACAAGACTAGAAACTTTGGAGTCTTCATCTTCTAGACTCCAGAGTATGTATGGAAAATCCTGGGTTTCCAGGCGAAGCTTTTCCAACAGACAGAGCCTCATGGTAAACCTCTACAAGGATGGTATAGAAGGAACATATATGGTGGGAGCCCCCACACTGGGAGGCACCATTTTCCAGACCCCAGATTCATAGACCCACCAACAGCTTGCACCCTTAGTGTTAAAAAGCTGCTGGCACTCAACAGCAGCCCAGCCCATGAGGGCAGCTTTGGGGAAAGACCTTGCCATACCACAGGTGCTGAGCTGCCCAAGGCTTTGGGAGACCAGCCATCAAACCACCCTCTGCTCTGGATGTGGGATGTAGATTCAAAAAATATGACATGGAGCTCTATGATGGAATGATTGGCCTGCTGGGTTTTTGACTTGCGTGGGGTCTGTAAGTCCCATCTGTGTTTTGTGCTTCTTTCCGGCAAATTTCTTCCTTTTGGCTGAGAATGCTTACCCAATGGCTGGACAAGCATTGTACCTTGAAAGTAGTTAACTTGCTTTGTATTTCAGAGGCTCAGGGATAGAAGGGACTGCAGCCTTGTCTCAGATGAGACTTTGGGCTTTGGACATTTGAGTAAATGCTGGAATGAGTTAAGACTTTGGGGGACTGTAGAGAAGGCATCACTGTATTTTGCAAAGTGAAAGTAACATGAGATTTGGAAGGCCAGGGGCAGAACAATAGGATTTGTCTCTGTGCCCCAACCAAAACTCATGTAGAATTGTGATGGGGAATGTTAAAAGTGGTGCTTGGTAGATGGTGATTTAATCATGGCGGAGAGTAGGGATTGGAAGTGAGGGTGTGGTAAGTTTGGGGGGTTTATGCTGGGGGTGGGGGTGAAAGATGGGGCTGGGGGGGCAGATCTTTCACAAATGGTTAAACAGTATCTCCTTAATGCTGTCTGTGTGAAAGTGAGTTCTCGTGATGAATGCGTACATACTCTCCTGGCTTTTGGGCTTGCATTGGACCTGTGTCCCAGTTGTGTTATTTTTCTGGAAAATTTCTTCCCATTGGACTGAGAAAGCTTACCCGATGCCTGTACCATCATTATGTCATGAAAGAGAAGCACTCCCTTTTACATTCAGGGACTCAGAAGCAGAAGGGACTGCAGCCTCGTGTTGGATGAGACTTTAATCTTTTTACATTTGAGTTACTGCTGGAATGAGTTAAGACTTTTGGAAACTTCTGAAAAGGCTTGTTTGTATTTTACTCTGTGAGAAGGACATGAGATTCAGGGGTGTCAGGGTCAGAGTAATATGGTTTGGTGGTGTTTTCCTACAAAAGATCATGGGAAATTGTATTCCTGAATGTTGGAGGTGGGGCCTGGTGGGAGCTGATTGAATCATGGATGGGAGGGGGTTGCGGGTAGAAGGAAAAAGAAGTGGGTAGGGTGGGGAGGAGTAGGTTGGCAGTAAACTGTGAGAGGGTGGTGGGTAGTAGGATGTGGGAGTAGCCTCCTGCAGAGGCAGAGCCTCATGGAAAACCTCTACTAGGGCGGTGCACCTGTGGCTTTGCAGGGTTTAGTCCCTTGGTGGCTCTCATGGGCTGGGCTGGTGTTGAGTGCCTGTAGCTTTTTCATACTGAGGGTGCAAGCTGTTGGTGGGTCTATAAATCTGGGGTCTGGAGGATGGTAACCTCCTGTGTGGGGGCTCCAAGCCCATATTTTCCTTCTGCACTGCCCTAGTAGAGGTTTTCCAAGAGGCTCTGGCTCTGCAACAGGCTTCTACCTGGAAACAGTGGTGGGGTGGGGGAGTTGGGGGGGACAGATCTTTCACCAATGATTAAGCATCATCTTCTTGATGCTGATTTTGTCATAGTGAGTTGTCATGAGATCTGGTTGTATAACAGGGTGTGATACCTCTTTCCTCCTTCTGTCTTGCTCCTACTTCTACCATATGAAACATCCCATTGCCACTTGTTCTTCTGGTATGATTGGGAGGCTTCCTGATTCCTCCCAGAAGCAGAGGCCTCTATGATTCCTTTAAAGCCTGCAGAACCATGAGCCAGTTCAACCTCTTTTCTTTATGATCTTACAGAAAATTGGTGCTTGGAAGTGGAGCTATGAAATGCCTTCAAAGCCTTTTTCTTATTGTCTTGGCAATCAGCACTCAGCTTCTCTTCATGCAGATATCGGATCCCTTTGTGAATTTTTCCCCTGAAAATGGACATTTCTTCTTTTTACCGCATTGATAGGCTGCAATAAGGATGGATGAAAATGTAAAAGCAGGATCACAATAGGGTAACAGCCAGAGGTTGGAAAGTTTGGAGGCCTTGGAAGAAGTCAGGAAGATGAAGGGAAGTTTTGACCATTGTAGAGACTCATTAAATTGTTATAATTAAAAGGGTGACAGAAGGATGGACAGTGAAGGCCAGGCTTACAAGGTCTCAGATGAAAATGAGGAATTTACTGAAAAGAGGAGCCAAGGTTACTTTGGTTTTGCCTTAGCAAAGAACGTCGCTGCATGATGCCCCTAACCTGGAGACCTATGAAACTTTGAACTTGAGGGTGATGATTTCGGGTATATCTAAATCATAGGGTGTATCTAAATCATAGGCGTGAACTTCTGGCAGCAAAGCTCAAGAGGTATCCTGTCTGTGTCCAAAAGCCTGTGGTCTTCGGTGTGACCAAATAAATGACCTCAAGTAGAAACATATTTAAACGAGAAGCAGAACTTAAAAGTTTGGAAAATTTGCAGCCTGGCCAAGTGGTCAAAAAGAAAACCTGATTTTCGTGGGAAAATCTAAGAGAGCTTCAGAAATTTGTATAAAATGGAGTCCAGTGCTAATAGCCAAGACAATGGGAAAAAGGCCTTGAAGGCATTTCAGAGACCTTTGCAGCAGCCCTTGCTGTCACAGGCCCTAAGGCCTGAGAGAGAAGAATGTTCTCCTGGGCCAGCTGCAAGGCTCCACTGCTGTGCTCAGCCACAGCACACTGCTGCCTGCATCCCTGCAGCTCCAGCTCCAGCCATGGCTGAAAGATGCACAGGCACAGCTTGGGTCACTGCTTCAGGGGTACAAGATGCAAGCCTTGGTGGCTTCTACATAGTGTTAAGCCAGCAGGTGCACAGAGCAAAAGAGGAGAGCCTTGGGAGCCTTCGTCTAGACCCCAGAGCATGTACAGAAAAACCTGGGTTTCCAGGCAGAAGCTTTTCCAAGAGGCAGACCCTCCATGGGAAAGCTTTTCTAGGGCATTACAGAAGGAACATATAGAGTTGGAACCCCCACACATGGAGGCACCATTCTGCAAACCCAGATTCATAGACCTACCAACAGCTTGCACCCTCAGTGTGGAAAGCTACAAGTGCTCAACACTAGCCCAGCCCATGAGGGCAGCTGTGGGGGAAAGACCCTGCAAAGCCACAGGTGCAGAGCTACCCAAGGCCTTGGGAGCCCAGCCATCACACCCCTGTGTTCTGGATGTGGGATTTGGATTGAAAAGTGATGATTGGAGCTGTACAATGGAATGACTGGCCTGCTGGGTTTTTGACTTGCATCAGATCTGTAAGTCTCATCTGTATTTTGTGCTTCTTTCTGGCAAAGTTTTTTCTTTTGGCTGGGAATTCATACCCAATGCCTGTACAATCATGGTACCTTGAAAGTAATTAACTTACTTTGTATTTCAGAGGCTCAGAGGCAGAAGGGACTGCAGCCTTGTGTCAGATAAGACTTTGGGCTTTGGATATTCAGTAAAGGCTGGAATGACTTAAGATTTTGGGGGACTGTAGAGAAGGCATCATTGTATTTTGCAGTGTGTCAAAGATATGAGATTTGGGGGAACTAGGGTCAGAATAATATGATTTGGTTCTGTGTCCCTACCGATACTCACGTGGAATTGTAATGGGGAATATGAAAGTTGGGACCTGGTGGAAGGTGATTTAATCATGGTGAAGCATGGGTGTTGGAGGTACGGGTGTGGGGAGAATGGTGGAGATTATTTTGGGGGTGGGGTCGAAAGATGAGGATGGGGATGGATCCTTTACAAATGGTTAAACACTATCTCCTTAATGCTGTCTGCATGATAGTGAGTTCTCTTGATGATTATGGAGCTTTAAGATTGAGTGAATACTGTCCTCCTGGGCTTGGACTTGCATTTGTGTTATTTTTCGGGGAAATTTATTCCCTTTGGATTGAGAAATCTTACCCAATGCCTGTACCATCATTGCACCTTGAAAGAAAAGAAATCCCTTTTGAATTCAGGGACTCATAGGCAGAAGAGAAGGTAGCCTTGTCTCAGATGAGACTTTGAAGTTTTTACATTTGGAATGAATTAAGACTTTGGAAAATTTTGACAAGGCATGATTGTATTTTGCTCTGTGAGAAAAACATGAGATTCTGGGGTATCAGGGTCAGAATAATATGGTTTGGCTGTGTGTCCCTGTGAAACTCATGTGGAATTATAATCCCAAATGCTGAAGGTGGGGCCTAGGGGAGGGGATTTAATCATGGATGGGAGGGGGTTGGGGGTGGAAGGAGAAAGGGTGGGTAGGGTGGGGAGGAATGGGTTGGCTGTAGGGTGATGGGAGGGTGGTGGGTAGTAGGAAGGGGGAGTAACCTGCTGCAGAGGCAGTGGTTCATGGAAAACCTCTACTAGGACAGTGCACCTGTGACTTTACAGGGTTTAGCCCCTGTGGCTGCTCTCATGGGGTGGGCCGGTGTTGACTACCCATAGCTTTTTCACACTGAGGGTGTGAGCTGTTGGTGGGTCTATGAATCTGGGGTCTGGAGGTTGGTGGCCATCTGCGTGGGGGCTCCAAGCCCATATTTTCCTTCCACACTTCCCTAGTAGACGTTTTCCAAGAGGATCTGCCTCTACATCAGGCTTCTGCCTGGAAACAGTGGGAGTTGGGGGTGGGGGGCAAATCCTTCACCAATGGTTAAGCACCATCTTTTTGATGCTGACCTTGTGAGTTCTCATGAGATCCGCTTGTATAATAGGGCATGGCACCTCTTTCCTCTCTCTGTCTTGCTCCTACTCCTGCCACGTGAATCATCCCATTGCCCCTTGACATTCTGGTACGATTGGGAGGCTTCCTGAGTCCTCCCAGATTCAGAAGCCAGTATGTTTCCTTACAGCCTGCAGAATCATGAGGTTCTTTATGATCATAGAGAAAATTAGTACTGGGAAGTGGATGTCTTCAAGACCTTTTCCCTATTGTCTTGGCAATCAGCACTCTGCTTCTTTTCATTCAAGTATCTGAGACCTTCTTGAATTTTCTCCCTGAAAATGGACTTGTCTTCCTTTACCACATTGCCAGGCTGCGACAAAGATAGCTGATAATGTAGAAGCAGTTTCAGAAGGGGGTGACAGACAGAGACCAGGAGAGTTTGGAGGGCTTCGAAGACAGGAAAATGAGGAAAAGTTTGGATCTTTGTAAAGAATTGTTAACTACTTGTGATCAGAAGGCTAACAGGAAAATGGTCAGTGAAAACCAGACTTGGAAGGTCTCAGATAATAATGAGGAACTTACTGGGAACAGAAGCCAAGGTTACTTTTGTTTTGCTGTAGCAAAGAACATGGCTGCATGGTGACCCTGCCCTGGAGATCTGTGAAACTTTAAACTTGAAGGTGATGACTTAGTGCATATCTGGTGGAATGAACTTCTAGGAAGCAAAGCTCAAGAGGTGTCTTGTCTGCATCGAACAGCCTGTGCTGTGATGTGTGACTGCGAAAATGACCTCTGGATGGGACTTATATTAAATGAGTCCCAACTCTTACATTAAATGAGAAACAGGACTCAAAAGTTTGGAAAATTTGCAGCCTGGCCAAGTGGTCAAAAAGAAAAGCTGAATTTCAGGGGAAAAATTCAGGAAGGCTTCAGAAACTTGCATGAAAAGGAGCCCAGTGCTAATAGCCAAGACAATAGGGAAAAGCCCTTGACGGCATTTTGGAGACCTTTGCAGCAGCCCTTGCTGTCACAGGCCCTGGGACCTAGGAGAGAAGAATGGTTTCTTGGGCCAGTCCTGTGGCTCCGCTCTATGTGCAGCCTCAGGGCACTGCTGCCTGCGTCCCTGCAGCTCCAGCTCCAGCCATGGCTGAAAATGCACAGATGCAGCTTGGGTCACTGCTTCAGAGGGTGCAAGCTAGAAGCCTTGGTAATTTCCTCATAGTGTTAAGCCACTAGGTGGATGGATCATGAGACTAGAGGCTTGGGAGCCTCTCTGTAGACTTTGGAAGATGTATGGAAATGCCTAGGTGACCAGATAAAAGCATCCCAAAAATGCAGAGCCTCATAAGAAACCTCTACTAGGGCAGTGCAGAAGGAAAATATGGCGTTGGAGCCCCCACACTGGAGGCCACCATCATGCAGACCCCAGATTCATAGACCCACCAACAGCTTGTACCATCAGTCAGGAAAAGCTATAGGCACTCCACACCCGCCCAGCCCATGGGGGCAGCTGTGGGGCATAAACCCTGCAAAGCCACAGGTGCAGGGCTGCCCAAGGCCTTCAGAGCCCAGCCCTCATGTCCCTGTGCCCTGGATGTGGGACAACGTTTCAAAAAGGGTGATTTTGGAACTGTAGGATTGAATGACTGGCCTTCTGGGTTTGGAGTTTCATGGGGCCTGTAAGACCTGTATGTGTTTTGTTCTTTCTGGCAAAATTCTTCCTTTCAGTTGAGAATGCTTACCCATTGCCTGCAGAAGCATTGTACCTTGGAAGTAGTTAACTTGCTTTATAGTTCAGAGGCTCTTGTACCTAAGGGACTGTAGCCTTGTGTCAGATGAGACTTTAAGCTTTGGACATTTGTATAAATGCTGGAATGATACAAGATTTGGGGGACTGTAGGGAAGGCATCATTATATTTTGCAATGTGAGAAGGACATGAGATTTGGGAGCCAGGGACAGAATAATAAAGTTAAAGGTGGGGCCTGGTGGAGGGTGATTTAATCATGGTGGAGAGTGAGGGTTGGAAGGTGGGGGGTAGGGAGAATGAGGGGATTATGGTGGGGGTGAGGGGTGAAAAGTGGTGGTGGGGGGGTGGATCCTTCACAAATGATTAAACACCATCTCCTTATTGCTGTGCTTATGCTAGTGAGTTCTCTTCGTGATTTTGGAGCTGTGAGATTGAATGGATACTGGCCTCCTGGGTTTTGGACTTGCATTGGGCGTGTGGTTCTATTTGTGGTTTTTTCCTGGGAAATTTCTTCCCTTTCAATTGAGAAAGCTTACCCAATGCCTGTACCATCATTGTACCCTGAAAGAAAAGAACATCCTTTTAAATTCAGGGACTCATAGGTGAAAGGGACTGTAGACTTGTCTCAGATGAGATGTTGAAGTTTTTACATTTGAGTTAATGCTGGAATGAGTTAAGACTTTTGGAAACTTTTGACAAGGCATGAATGTATTTTGCTCTGTGAGAAGGACATGAGATTCTGGGGTATCAGGGTCAGAATAATATGGTTTGGCTGTGTTTCTTTTCCAAAACTCCTGTGGAATGTACTCCTTAATGTTGGAGGTGGGGCCTGGTGGGAGGTGATTTAATCATGGCAGGAGGAGGTTGGGGTTGGAAGGAAAAGGGGTGGGTAGTGTGGGAAGTAGGTTGGCAGTAGGGTGGTGGGAGGGTGGTGGGTAGTAGGAAGGGGGAGTAGTCTGCTTCAGAGGCAGAGGCTCATGGGAAACCTCTGCTAGGGCAGTGCACCTGCAGCGTTGCAGGCTTCAGCCCCCATGTCTTCTCTCATGGGCTAGGCTGGTGTGGAGTGCGTATAGCTTTTCCATACTGAGGGTGTGAACTGTTGGTGGGCTTATGAATCTGGGGTCTGGAGGATGGTGACCTCCTGTGTGGGGGCTCCAAGCCCATATTTCCCTTCTGCACCGCCATGGTAGAAGTTTCCCAAGAGTCTCTGCCTCTGCAGGAGGCTTCTGCCTGCAAACAGTGGGCGGTGGTGTGGGTGGTGGTTCCTTCACCAATGGTTAATCTTCTTGATGCTGATCTCCTGATAGTGAGTTCTTATGAGATCTGGTTGTATAACAGGATGTGGCACCTCCTTTCTCTCTCTGTCTTGCTCCTACTTCTGCCATATGAAATATCTCATTGTCGCTTGGCCTTCTGGTATGGTTATGAGGGCCCTGATCAGTGTGGGCCTCATCAGTGGACCTAGTCAGCTGGGACTTGGTCAGTGAGGCCTATTTATTGGGGGCGTGGTCAGCAGGGGTCTACTTAGAGAGGGTCTCATTAGGGGGACCTAGTAGTGGGGTCTTGGTGAGTGGGGACCTAGTGGCAGCCACTTGTTTGGTGTCTGGTCAGTGTAAAAACTAGGCTGCAGGACTTTGTCAATGGAGACCTGGTCAGCTGGGGCTTAGTGGTGGCCTTGTCAGCATGGGCTGGGTCACTGGTGACCAGCTCAAGGGGTGCTATTCAGTGGAGGCCTGGTCACATGGGACCCAGTCAGCAGGGCCTGCTGGCCATGTCCTCACCAGTGAGGCCCTTGTCAGTGGGGCCCTGGTCAGCGCAGCCTGGTCAGTGGAACCTAATCAGTGGGGGCCTGTTCAGAGAGAGCACATTCTGTGGTGGCTCTTGTAGCTCTGGTCTGTGGGGTGACCTGGTCAGCAGGGATCTGAGCAGTGGGTGCCTATTCAGTGGGGCCTACTCACTAGGGTCACAGTCAGGGGCATCTGGTCCCCTACGGCCTGGTTAATAGGGGCCTGATCAGTGGCAGCCTGTTCCCTGGAGGCCTGGTCAGTGGGGCCTCATCTGTGGTGCCAGGCATTGGGGTCACGATCAGTGGAACCTGGTCAGTGAGGCCTAGTCAGTAAGGACCTGGTCAGTGAGGCCCTGGTCAGTAAGGTCCTGGTCAGTGGGGTCCTGGACACTGTGGGCCTAGCAGCAAGGGCCTGGTTAGTGGGGTCTGGTCATGGGGTTCTAATCAGTGAGGGTGTGGTCAGGAAGGACCTGATGTGCGGGATATGGTCAGCAGGGACCTGGTCAGCGGGGGCTGCTGAGCACTGCTGGGAGATGTCAGGTGCAATGCACGTTATCGAGGGCGCTGTGGACAGTCAGGATGGCCCAGTAGTGCCCAAAGGCCCAGTCAAAACTGGACAAAGCAGGTGTTTGGATGGACCTGGGAGATCTTGCTCAGAGATTCTGACAGGACAAAGGTAAAGGAAGGGCCAGAGTGGCCGGATAGATGGTCACAGTCTATGGGCTGCACAGGATGAGGAAGCCAGAGAACAGGCAAGGTGGGCAGCAGGGGTGCAGGGAGAGGCAGGTGCATGCTGGGAGGTCAGACCCTGTGAGGGCTGTGGGGGCGTCAGGTGGGGTGGGCTCCAGGTGCACCCTCAGTGCACTGGGCAGGTCTCAGCCCAGGCTCCCTGGACCCCAGCAGGGTGATGTGGTCACTCTCTGGGGGACTGCTGTCAGGCACCGGGCACCCACCATGGGCAGCACTGTCCCATCTCAGGAATGGACTTTCTCAGATACTGCAGAGGGCACAGCCTCCAGCCCAGGAGGGGCAGCCCCATGGTGCAGCCGGAGCTATCCATTGGCCTGGAGTGTCCCCTGCCAGCCCTGCGCTCCCTCTTCTCCCGGGTCCCGCTTTTCCAGTGTCAGCCAGCAGAGGGGCTCCGTCCTCCCTTCCCTATGTGTCTCCTGGGCTGAAACTTGCAGCGGTTTGGGACAGGGATGGTGCTTCCCTCAGGCCCATTTAGGGAGGGGACTGGCTCCCAGCCTGGCACAGGTCCTCAGCTCTGCCTTGGTTGCCTTAGAGTGAGCAGGATCAGTCAGTGCCCTGAAGGTAGAGCTAAGAGACTGTCCTTGCTGTGTGGGAGGCTGGTCTAGGGATGGAGGACTTAACAGGTCCTCCCAGTCTGTCAGGCCTAGACAGTATTGTCCTGTCTCAGGACTCAGAAAGTCCAGTCCTGAGATGGGACAGTGCTCCCCAGGGTGGGTGGCCAGGGCCTGACAGCAGTCCCCCAGGGAGTGACCACATCACCCAGCCGGGGTCCAGGGAGCCTGGCCTGAGACCTGCCTAGTGCATTGAGGTTGCACCTGGAGCCCACTCCAACTGATGCCCCCACAGCCCTCACAGGGTCTGACCTCCCAGCATGCACCTGCCTCTCCCTGCACCCCAGATGTCCACCCTACCTGTTCCCTGACTTCCTCCATCCTGTCCAGCAGGATGGGCTGGACAGTGGGACAGCCTTTGTGCACATTTTGTGGCAAGTAGGAGTGACACACCATCCCTGGGAGGCACCATGGTTCCTGCCAAACCCAACCCCAGAACTCTGTCCCTGAGGTGGTTTTACCAAAACCCAAAACCCAGAACTATGGTCGTGGCTCAGGGGTCAGCACCTGCTAGTACCAGGACACTACTGGGAGGCTGGGACCTGACTGAAGCCCATGATGTCTGTGGCCTGAGGACAGGGTATGTTGGGGCCATAAGGTCTGGCCACCAATGGCCATTGGGTCCTAGGGCCTCAGTCCCAGTGTTTGCCCTTCCCTGGCTCCTTCTGGTTCAGTCCCATTAGGGCCCTGGAGCCCAAGACCCAGCACCCAAGGTCCCCTCCAGGAATCCTGGCAGCTTGGCTTCCTTTATCATGTTTCATCTGAGAGCAAAAATGTCAGATCGCCCCCCCTCTCCCTCTCCCTCTCCCTCTCCCTCTCCCTCTCCCTCTCCTCCCTCTCCCTCTCCCTCTCCCTCTCCCCATGGTCTCCCTCTCCCTCTCTTTCCACGGTCTCCCTCTGATGCCGAGCCAAAGCTGGACTGTACTGCCGCCATCTCGGCTCACTGCAACCTCCCTGCCTGATTCTCCTGCCTCAGCCTGCCGAGTGCCTGCGATTGCAGGCGCGCGCCGCCACGCCTGACTGGTTTTCCTATTTTTTTGGTGGAGACGGGGTTTCGCTGTGTTGGCCGGGCTGGTCTCCAGCTCCTAACCGCGAGTGATCCACCAGCCTCGGCCTCCCAAGGTGCTGGGATTGCAGACGGAGTCTCGTTCACTCAGTGCTCAATGGTGCCCAGGCTGGAGTGCAGTGGCGTGATCTCGGCTCGCTACAACCTCCACCTCCCAGCCGCCTGCCTTGGCCTCCCAAAGTGCTGAGATTGCAGCCTCTGCCCGGCCGCCACCCCATCTGGGAAGTGAGGAGCGTCTCTGCCTGGCCGCCCATCGTCTGGGATGTGAGGAGCCCCTCTGCCTGGCTGCCCAGTCTGGAAAGTGAGGAGCATCTCTGCCCGGCCGCCATCCCATCTAGGAAGTGAGGAGTGCCTCTACCCGGCCGCCATCCCATCTAGGAAGTGAGGAGCGTCTCTGCCCGGCCGCCCATCGTCTGAGATGTGGGGAGCACCTCTGCCCCACCGCCCCGTCTGGGATGTGAGGAGCGCCTCTGCCCGGCCGTGACCCCATCCGGGAGGTGAGGAGCGTCTCTGCCCGGCCGCCCCGTCTGAGAAGTGAGGAGACCCTCGGCCTGGCAGCCGCCCCGTCTGAGAAGTGAGGAGCGTCACCGCCTGGCAGCCACCTCGTCTGGGAAGTGAGGAGCCCCTCCGCCCGGCAGCCACCCCGTCCGAGAGGGAGGTGGGAGTCAGCCCCCGGCAGGCCAGCCGCCCCATCCGGGAGGGAGTGGGGGGCCAGCCCCCCGCCCGGCCAGCCGCCCCGTCCGGGAGGTGAGGGGCGCCTCTGCCCGGCCGCCCCTACTGGGAAGTGAGGAGCCCCTCTGCCCGGCCACCACCCCGTCTGGGAGGTGTACCCAACAGCTCATTGAGAACGGGCCATGATGACAATGGCGGTTTTGTGGAATAGAAAAGGGGGAAAGGTGTGGAAAAGATTGAGAAATCGGATGGTTGCTGTGTCTGTGTAGAAAGAAGTAGACATGGGAGACTTTTCATTTTGTTCTGTACTAAGAAAAATTCTTCTGCCTTGGGATCCTGTTGATCTATGACCTTACCCCCAACCCTGAGCTCTCTGAAACATGTGCTGTGTCCACTCAGGGTTAAATGGATTAAGGGCGGTGCAAGATGTGCTTTGTTAAACAGATGCTTGAAGGCAGCATGCTCATTAAGAGTCATCACCACTCCCTACTCTTAAGTACCCAGGGACACAAACACTGCGGAAGGCCGCAGGGTCCTCTGCCTAGGAAAACCAGAGACCTTTGTTCACTTGTTTATCTGCTGACCTTCCCTCCACTATTGTCCTATGACCCTGCCAAATCCCCCTCTGCGAGAAACACCCAAGAATGATCAATAAAAAATAAAAAAAAAGTCAGATTGGATGCACAGAAAAATGGCCCAAATTGTTTAATGACTAGAAGAAATATAGGAGCAGCAAGAATGTGATGTGAAGAGGGGAGGGCCTCCATGACCGGTGTCTGCAGAGCCAGGGGTACAGGCACCCAGTGTTGTGGCCTGGCACCACTGGCCTCTCAGAGGGTGGGTAGCACACTGTCCTTACCCGGAGGACAGCAGGCCTGATCACCAGCTTTTCTACCTGTCCCTGTAAGCATCACGTTGCTAGAAGAAAATCTCATGCCAGAGCTTGGACCATCCCTAGCTCAGAGGTTAGGGGTTGTCTCTTGGTGACCTACATGAAAAAATAGGTCCAGATCAGAGTTCCTGATGCAGAGCACTCATCCACTCTTTCAATCGTTGGAGGAGAGGCCTGGTTTTAGGTAAACCTAACCTCTTTGAGGAACCACAGAGCCCAAGACTGGAAACCTTCAGAATCTGCTGGCCCCCAACCCTCCCTGGGGACCCCTGTGGCCTGTCTCACCAGAGCACTCTTCTGTCTGTAGATGTCTCAGCGGCTCTACAAGGGAGTCCCATTTCAGGTGTGGGGCTGGGCATGGTCACTCCTGCTGGATGTCTAGAAGATGGAAACTAAGGACCTAGGAAAATGCCAGATACAGCCTTTCCACCCTCATCCAGAGCAGGACAAACAGGCCAGGTGGTGTCAGGAGCCCAGGTCTCCAGCTGGAGGGAACGTCAACCCTGCAGTGGGAGCAGGGGCCCATCGCACATCCTAGGCACAGATGCTAATGTAGGCACTGCAGGTAAGCTGGGCTTGGTACCCTTCCCTGGCTTCAGAAAGAAGCCAACAAGGAGCGTTTTGCAGAATGAAACCTCTTTTCCATCCAGAAGCACTGCTGACTGTAGGTGGTTGCCGTTTGTGGCAGTGAGCATTTTGTCCATTCTGAGGTTGGATTGGTTTCTTCTTTTGGCCTTGCCCTGCCCTACAGACCATAAAGGAGAACAGCAAGAGGCCCCCAGCAAACATCCACAGATGGCCCTGGACATCAGCCACATTCTGAGAAACATGTCATGTTCTGGGAGGGCTAAGGCATCAAGTTAGGCCTACGGGGCTGGATGATCCCAGGCAACGTGGGGCAATCCAGAGCCATGGGGGCTTTCCATGGGAATTGGGAGGTCCCAAGGCAGAGTCAGAGGTTCCACAGGAGGAGTCACAGAGTCACCAAGGGCTCTCCTGGCCCAGGGAGCAGTCAACACCATGGACTGAACACCTGCTGGGCTCCAAGCCCTGGGCCAGGCTGCCCATGTGGGGCCAGGAGGCAGCTCAGAGTGGGAGGCAGAGAAGTGTGCTCAGAGGGCACCTGTATCTGGATGTAATGTGGTCCTGAGACTGGCTGGGAAGTGCTTCCAGGGTATCATATGTGTTATGCAGTTACTTCCTCTCCCCAGCCTTACCCTGTAGGAATTCTAGTGACTATGTTGCCACCATCTTGGAGCTCCATGCCCTCATAGTGTAATGGCACCAGCAGATCTGCCTGTGCATGGACTTCCTGTACTACCTCACTCCTGAGGGGAGATGTTTCTGCAGGGCCTATGACCTGGTGCACAACTTTAGACACCATCATCCTGGAGCAGCACTGCACCCTCACTAGCCAGAGTGTTGACATCCTCAAGGCCAGGGCCACATTCAAGACTTTGGACTTCATTGATGCACTTGTGCTGAGCAAGGTGGGCATCTCTGGTATCTTAATTCAGGAGGCAGAATACAGCTTGAGATCAGGTGTCTGATCAAAGAACTTGAACTTGATCTGGAGGGCTCTGGGGAGCCATGGAAGGTTCTGGATAAAGGAGGGTCAGTCAGCCACGTTTTAGAAATGACTGTGGAAGTCTTCCTGGAAGGAGTGAACAAGAGCCAGGAGACCAGGGAGGGAGCTTGTGGGGCAGGTCTGGAGATGGCAAGGGAGGGATCCTGCTTGGATGAAAAGTCTTCAGGGACCATCTCAGGTTACACTCAGGTGCCCTCTGAGTTAGTGTGTTCTAAGTAAGGGGTTTTAAGCCTCCTATTGTGGCTTATCCCTGACAGTGTCAGCACCAGCTCCCCTAACCCCACAGCTCAGGGTCCACTTTGCTTCTGTATCCTGCATGTTCCCCTTTCCTGCTGAAAAGCAGATTCCCCAATGAGCAGCAGAATCCTGTTTCTCCCTGCAGGCCCCTCTGCTCCATATGAGTGGTGTTTTGTGGGATTCCTCCCTTGGTTTTGGATGAGAACACCCTTTCCCGTTCCACAGGGATTGTTTCTGTGGACCTTACCCCAGGTTTTCCCCTGGTCGGGCACCGGGCAGGTGGGGGTGGTGGGACCAACTCTTTAGAACCAGCAATGTCAAACAGATCCCACTCAGGGGAAGTTCATGCTAAGTGTCATGGGTCCTATGGAATTTTCTGAAGCTTTCCTTTTCTCCCCCACCTTCAACCAGCTTATCTGATCTCCTGGGATCTCTACTAGGATGCTGGCAGCCCAGCCAGCTGGTCTGGCCCTGGACGTGCCTTCAGGTGCTGGTTATGCTTTATGACCTGTGTTGTGGTGAGTGATAAGCAGCACCTGCTTCTAGCTTCACTTTTGGGCCAGATTTCATCCCCACCGTGGTTCTTCATTGCAGCTGCTTTCTGCTCCCTCTATGGACCCTGCATGGAATTGCCCCATGTTTCTGTTTGGGCACCACTGAGGAAGGAAGCATGAAGGATGCACAGGTCAGGCCATTCTGTTGCCCACCTCGTGCTGGGTCTTTACTCCTGGGATGGCTTCAGGGGCAGCTCCTTTTCCATGCCTCCCCCCACCCCACATCTCTCAGGTTGCTGCTCACAGGTCACCTCTTGGAGGGGTCTCTCCCTGTGACTGTGTTTGGAACAGCTCCCTCAGTTTCTTTCTAGCTCATCTCACTCTGGTAATGTCTTTCATTACCACCACCATCTGACCTAGTCTTATGACCTGTTAGCTTCCTTCATCAGACATGAGCACCAGGATGGCAGGGGCCTCATCTGTCTTGTTCCTCCTGTGGCCTGGGTCCTAGCACCATGTCTGGTACAGTGTAGATGCTCAAGGGAAGTTTACTGTTGAAGAACTGTCTACCTGGGAGAGGTTACTGTTAGTCTAAGCTGCACTATTTGGTAAACCCCTTGATGTTTTGCAGATCCTGGTCAGAGTAAAACATTCCATGGGAACTCGGGCTGTGAGAAACATCCTAACCACCTGACTGCAGAAACATCCTTATCACATCCTGCTGGGCAAGGGCCCAACAGCCTGACTTCAGGAACATCCTTATCATCTTCTACTGAGCAGCAAGCTATACTGTCCAGAGCCCTCCCTCCCAGCCCCATGATTACCCCAGCCTGTAAGTGGCAGTGGGCGCTGACACTAAGCTGGTTTCCCCCTCCGCAGGGTTTTGCTAGTAATAAACCTGTGTTGCTGTTGAAGCGGCCAATCTCTGTGTGTGTGTGTGTGTGTGTGTGTGTGTGTGTGTGTGTGTGTGTGTCTGTGTGTCTGTGTGTGTGTGTGTGTGTCTTTAACTCTTGCCTTGCCTTCAAATCCTTACAATAACTCCACTTCTCCATTTCACCATGGAGGATACGGGACTCAAGGAGAGCAAGTAACTTACCCAGAATTACACAGCCAGTGAGTCACAGAGTCTGAACTTGAACTCAGTTCAGCTGAATCCAGAACTCTCATCTTCCTGAGAGTGCAGGAAAGGAAAGGTGGATATGCAGCTGGTGAGCAGCCCACATGCTTTTTCTAGGAGACCCCAAGGTGGGCTCCTGGGAATTGTGTCTTCATGGTCACAAAAGGACTGCTCACCTGCGCTGTGCATCAGCTAAGTGTCCCCATTGTCCCAAATCTGCATTTCTTTTTATTCTTTTATTTATTTTATTTTGAGATAATGTCTCACTCTGTTCCCCAGGCTGGAGTGCAGTGGTGTGATCTCAGCTCACTGCAACCTCCACCACCTGGATTCAAGCTATTCTCCTGCCTCGGCCCCTGAGTAGCCGGGACTACAGATGTATGCCCAGCTAATTTTTGTACTTTAAGTAGAGATGGACTTTCACCATGTTGGCCAGGCTAGTCTTGAACTCCTGACCTCAAATGATCCACCCACCTCAGGCTCCCAAAGTGCTGGGATTGCAGGCATGAGCCACTGTGCCAAGCCTCAAATCCTCACTTCTTTTCAAAGATTTTTTTTTTTTGAGATGAAGTCTCACTGTTGTCACCCCGACTGGAGTGCAATGGTGCGATCTCGGCTCACTGCAACCTCCACCCTCTGGGTTCAAGCAATAGTAGGACATCCTAGTATTTGTGACAATGTGGATGAACGTGGAAGTCATGCTAAGTGAAATAAATAAGCCACACAGAGAGATAAATATTACATGGTCTCACTTATACATGGGATCTGAAAAAGTCGAACTCATGGAAACCAAAAGTAGAAGAGTGGTTACCAGCAGTCAGGGGGTGAGGAAAATGGAGAGATATTGGTTCAAGGGTACAAATTTTTAAATATAAAATGAGTAACTTTCTGGAAACCTAATGTAGAACATAGAGACTCTAGTTAATAATAATGTATTGTGTACTTGAAATATACTAAGAGAGTAGATCTTAAATATTTTCACCACAAAAAACTCAGGAGGCTGAGGCAGGAGAATTGCATGAACCTGGGAAGCAGAGGTTGCAGTCAGCCAAGATTGTGCCACTGCACTCCCAGCCTGTGTGACAGAGTGAGACTCCGTCTCAAAAAAAAAATGCTATGTATGTTAATGGGAATGTTAATTAGCTGGGTTGTGGTAATCATTTCACAATGTATACACATATCAAAATATATTGTACACCTTAAAGACATAATTTTTACTTGTCAATTATATCTCAATGAAGCTAGCCAAAAAAAAAAAAAAAAAAAAAATGCATCCCAGCCTTGGGCAGTGGTAGACAGTGGATTCAATGGTTAATAGGATGATACGGCTGGGAATGACTCTCAGAAACATGAGGACTTGGTTGGATGGCTAACCATCCCCAGTCAACCTCGTAAAGAGGAAGGCAAGAGGCCTGGAGCCAGACCCCAGAGTTAAAATCCCAATCCAAAGCAAAGTCTCATGGCAAAACATTGGTTGATATCATCTTTCTTTCTTTCTTTTTTTTTGAGACAGAGTCTCATTCTGTCACCCAGGCTGGAGTACAATGGCACCATCTCAGCTCACTGCAAGCTCCGCCTCCCGGGTTCACGCCATTCTCCTCCTGCCTCAGCCTCCGGAGTAGCTGGGACTACAGGCACCCACAACCATGCTCGGCTAATTTTTTGTATTTTTAGTAGAGATGGGATTTCACCGTATTAGCCAGGATGGTCTTGATCTCCTGACCTCATGATCCGCCTGCCTCGGCCTCCCTAAGTGCTGGGATTACAGGCATCAGCCACTGCGCCCGGCCGATATCATCTTTCTAGAGCCAACGACAAGAGCAGCACTTATTTCCTGTACCATGAATTTGTGGGATGATTCAGACCAAATTCCTCAGCCCTCTTCAGGACATTTTGGCTAACTGAGGTCTTCTTGTCATGTTGGAGAAAGGGAGCAAGATGGGGATTCTGCACAACTCAAGCCCCAACATGTGGGGACAGACTCAAGTAGATCACCACTGAGGCTTTTTGTGGTAATGTGGATACTGGGAAGCCTGAGGAAGGCTGTGGCCACAAACAGGCTCATTGAATTTACCCCTTGAAATCTGCACAGAACTTGGACAGCTCACTCCCCGATGAGCCACCACATTTATACCTGCAGCTATGACCTTTCTCTTGAGCCTCAGACCCTTATATCCTCCTGAGCACTGGTTATTTCTACTTTGATATTTAAAAGGCCCCTGAAAACTAACTCCTCTGAAACTGTTCATGTGGACAATTGACGTGTCAGAACCAAACCTTAGACTTCTCCAAACTTACTGTCCCTCAGTACCCCTTTGCTGTGAAAGCAACATCATCCTGACAGGTGTTCAGAATACAGCTTTGTGGTATTTCTTGACTTATTCCCTGGTTGTCTCTTCTCCATCCCATCAGCAAAGCCTCTATCCCTACCTTCAGGATGTGCCTGTGTCTTACCACTTCTTTGCCTTCATGTGTTCTTGGCACCATCACTTCTTGACAGGATGACTGTGGCTGCCTACTAACAATATTCCTTCTCCTGCCCTTGCACCCAGTCTGTGCTCCAGCCAGCACCAGAATAGCCTCCCAGGTCACTCCCCAGCTCAAAACCCCAATATATTTCCACTCATCAGAGTAGAAGCCAAATTATGCCCATCACCCATGAAGTCCAGGCTGAGCTGGCCACTGGTTATCTCTCTGATCTAACTCCAGAGCTGGGCCTTCGCTCACTCTGCTCCAGTATAAAAGGTCACCTTGCTGCTCCTTGAATGCACGAAGATGCATCTGCCCCAGGGCTTGGCATTTGCTCTTCCCTCTGCCTTGAATTGCTACCCCTGATACCCAAATGATGGTCTCTCTTCTGTTCCAATCTCTGCTGAAATGTCACCTTGTCAATAATGTCTTCCCAGATCACTTGTAGTGATCATCCATTAGGAACAGTGTTGACACCCACCCCCAAACCACCACCCCCTATTAACTTCCTGCCCCATTTCTCTTGCAGCCCTCATTATCATTCAGCATGCCAAATACCATCCTTATTTGTGTATTTCTCTCCTTCATTGCTAGATTGTAAGTTTGATGAGGGCAGGATTTTTTTCCACTTTGTCACTGCTTTATCTCCAATGACTCTTACAGAGTAAGCACACAGTAAATGCCTGTTAAAAGAACGATTGAATTGCATGAGGACAAAGAAACTTTTATTTTACTGTCGTAACGCCATGACTTCCTCCAAATCTCCATGTGGATCTCTATGCCAGCTTTTTTCTGCCTCTACTTAATTTTCTCCAAGACCTTCCTTGGAAATATCTGTATGCTTAGGAAGTTTTAATAGTAAAGAGTGGAGTAACAGCTAAAAATAAAATAAGTTATGAAATATACCTAGCAGCCATGAAACCTCAACTTATAAAATGCAGAGGCCAGATTTGTTACATCCTCATCTGTTGGGGGTGGCTGAGGAGTTGGTCTTTGTGTGGCCTAAATCAGAACTTGGATGGCAAAACTGACTAGCTCAAATCTCAGGCTAGTGAAATCTGCAGGAAGAGTGGGTAAGGCTTGTGAAAAACGTACCAAACTACAGAAGCAGGGATGCCAGCGGAAAGAGATTTTTGATTAAAGAATGCAATAGAATGCTGAGGCCTCTAGAAGAGGCAGGAGTGAATCTCCTAGGGAAATTAAGACATTAATAACAGCTGTCTATGTGGGATATTTGGAAAAATAGTGCACACATAGGCCCATGGAAGGTGTATGTCCAAAGACCATAAGCATTTACATTAGAGTGATTAACAAAGGTCTTCCTCTGTGCAGAGCCATTCTTCAAAGATTGGGAGAGGTGGCCATTTAATCCAAATTGCAGTTTTCAACAAAAACTTACAAAGCATATAGGAAATGGGAAAACACGCATAGCCCATTCAAAGCAAGAAAATGAATATCCAGACTCATCTTTGAAAAAACACAGGTCTCAGACTTACTAAATTAAGATTTCAAAACAGCTGTCTTAAATATGCTTAAAGGGCTAAAGGAAAACACAGACAAGGAAATAAAGGAAATCAAGAAAACAATATATAAACAAATAAGAATATCAACAAAGAGATTGGAATTGTAAAGAGAACCAAATAGAAATTCTGGAGCTGAAAAATAGAGTAACCTAACAGAAAAATTGACTAGAAGGATACAAAAGCAGACTTGAAAAGGCAGAAGAAGGAATTAGCAAACTTGAAGATAAGTCCATTGAAACTATCGAGTTAAGGAGCAAAAGATAAGAGTGAGAAAAAGTAAACAGAGCCTAAAAGACACCATGCACCAAACACATATACATTATTGAAATCTCCAGACAAAAGAAAGAGAAAAGGGCAGAAAAATTATTTGAAGACGTAGTGGCCAAAAACTTCCCAAGTTGGAGGAAAGATGTAAATATACAAATCCAAAAAGTTCTGTGAATCCATGTTGGTTAAACCCAAAGTTACCCATAGTACATTCATGCATAATTATGTAGCATTTGAAGATAAAAAATTTTGAATGCCTTTTATAATAGCATCCAAATACATAGGGATACATTTAACAAAAGTGTGTAAGAAGACTATAATGAAAACTAAAACTTTGCAGAGAAAAATAAAACTACTGTTAATAGATAACTTCTTTCCAAATATATCTATAGATGCAATGGAATACCATTCCAAATTCTAGTTGGTTGTTAAAAATAGAAACTAACAAGCTGATTTAAAAATATATATGGAAATTCATCCTAGAATATATAAAATATATATGGAAAAAACAACCTAGAATAGCCCAAAGAATTTTGAAAATGAAGAAATTTAGAGACATTACACTACCTGACTTCCAGATTTAAGATAAAGTCACAGTCTTCAAGATTATAATGTACTGGTGAAGACAACACAATAAATCAATGAAAAAGATTCCAGGAATAAACCCACACATATATGGTCAAATAATTTGTTCCACAAAAACCCAAAAGCAATTCAATAGGAAAAGAAAACAATTTTTTTCAAAAAATAATGTGGAAACAACTAGATATCCATATGAGGGGGAAACAAACCTCAACCCTTACTTCACACCCTATATAAAAATTATTCCAAAGGGATCATAGGCCTACTCATAAATAAAGTAAAACTAGAAAGCTTTTAGAAGAAAAACTAGGAGAATATCTTTATGACTTTGGGTGTGGACATAAATTTGTTAAGGAATTGACAGAAAGCACTGGCCACATTGTTTCAAAAAAATTGAGTTCATTAAAATTTAAGTCTTCTAACCATCAAAAGACACTATTAAGAAACAGGGAAATCTCAGACTGAGAGAAAATATTCATATGTATCTGTCAAGGGACTTATGTCAAGAATATATTTTCTAAAAGTTGCTACAATTCAATAATAAAAAGACTAATATTTAAATTTTAAAATGTATAAAAGCCCTGCCCTCCACAATCTTCAATTTATAGCAGAAAGCAAGGAACACACACACACACACACACACACACACACACACACACATACAGCCTGCTCAAAGTGAGTCTGCCCTGGAACATGTGGGAAGCTGGTCTAGCTCTGCATAAGAAGTGAACACTGTATAAACTGACTTAGTGGAGAAGGTCATCTGAGAGGAAATGAGCCCTGTGCACTGAGCTCTGAAGAGCAGGAGGGCTGAGGTGGTGCAGGGGATGGTGGTGTTTGTGGGACTTAAAGTAAGATTATCTGGAATTATCTGGGTGGGTCCAATCTAATCCCAGAAGTGCTTAAAAGCAAAGAACTTAGCCCAGAAGCAGAAGACAGTTGCATGCACATACTACAGTTTGGTTATTCACTTCCCAGTGGATGGACATTTGGGTTGTTTCTAGTTGCGTGCTGCTGTAAACACTTTTGTGCAAGGCTTTTTGTGGACATGTGTTTGCATTTCTGTACATGTTGTGAGTTAAATGGAAGAGGTATGTATAAATGTTTTAAGAAACTTGCAAACAGTTTTCCAAAATGGTTGTATCATTTTACACCATACAGTAATGTATGAGAGTTGCTGTTGTGTTAGTAGTGATTAGCCTTTTTCATTTTAGCAATTCTGGTAGGTCTATAATCATGTCAGGAGGCAATTTTGATCTGCACTTCCTTGATGATTAATGATGCTGGGCATCTTTTAATGTGCTGATTTCCCATATATCTTCTTTTGTAAATTGTCAGTTCAAGGTAGAGATTTTAGCATATGGTAAATGGGTCACATATTGGGTTCAATAACGAAGATGTGGAGGGGTGGGTCTAGAGTTTTCTATTTTAGATGCAGTGAGATTATGCTGAGCTCAGTACAAAGTGAATCTTCCCAGAGAATATCCTGATTTGGACCCCACCAAGGCTACTAAGACACAGTTGTGTAATTGACTGAAGCACAAGCTGGCCAGAGCAGTGTGGAGATGGAGATGCCGTCTGCGCTCAAGTCTAATGATGTAAGGAAAGGAGGAGCTTCCTTATGAGAGTACTTTCCGTTCTCAGCAACTCTGAGCTTAGGTTGGTGATGGGCAGGAGTGAGCAGAGTTCAAGTTTGAATTCTTTGAAAGGTAAAAGAAGCAGGGATGTTCTGGAGATGGTGAGCAAAATGAGAAAAGCTCAGAAACTTGGTGTTGAAATTGGACATGGCCAGGGGGCTAGAGGGAGGAAGCAAATGGAAACCAGAGGGAATTGGGAAAAAATGCCAAAGTGGGGCCCATGGAGTTGAGAAGACACATAGAGTACCTTCGGGTTCAGTTCCTGGCATGGCCGCTGAGCCAACTTCCCCACAGCCATGAGATCCACTGCTCAGAGACCCGCTCTCCACCCCGTATCCCCTCTAATCACTGATGGGCTCATACCTAACATGGCTATACTTGGATAGTGCATGGTGCCTGACAGCTTTACAAGAGTTGTCACGTAAGCAACAGTGGTACATTGCTTTTCATTTATGCCGAGTTTCACAGTTTAACTTCCCACAAACATGCTAACTGTGATTTGTGCAGAGCATAATTATTTCCATTTATAGAGGAAGAGACTGAGATTCAGAAAGATTCTGTCTTGCCCAAGAATACAGATCTTGGCAGAGCTGACCATAAGGCCAAAGGAAGCCATGGAGATCGTTGTGAAGTGTGGGAATTGCTGCAGGTGACATCTAAAAGGAGATTTATTGAGGATCAAGGCAGAGGTCCCCAGAGGACAAACTGTGCCTCTGATTCCTTCCTGCTGCTTTTCTTCCTGGCAGAAATAGATGATTGAATTCATCTTTCTCCTGGCACCTTGTCTCAGAGACTTCCCTTGCCACAGTTCCAGACCCATCCAGGCCATGACTGCCATGTAGATGACACACCTCTCTGCTCACAAATAACTGGCCAAGCCTGAGGTAGCCACGTTTTGGAGCATTGATAATATGGGCTTTTCCTGTGTTGCCCCTAAACATGTTGTTTCATTTTGTCCCCTTGTCATGGGGTCTTCACAGAACTCCTGTCTTAGAGGATAAGGAAAGGCTCTTGCTCTAGCAACTGTAGACACCGGTGTGCGCTAAAGAGGGAGGTGAACCTTCGTAGAAGAAGGAAAATTGTTTTGGAGAAGGGGATTTTTGGATCAGTGCTTGTGGCTCTGACTCTCTTTCTGAAAGGAACACCCAAGAATATGAGGATTTTCTGTATCTAGAGCTTGAAGACTAGCCTTCTCCAGTATTTTGCGCTCTTCCTTAAATGATCACAATATAGTCTGAGGTCAGCTTTCTTCAAAAAGGAATGACCTTACAGGCAGAGAAGATAGCTATAGGTGGAGACTGTTACCTCATACTGTAGACTCAGATGTGTAGGATAGGTTCAGATCCAGCTGCCAAGCTCAATTTGGAGTACCTGCCATTCTTGGTACTGTTCATTCTGAACTATAGATTTCTTTGTCTGCTTCTCTAAGACATCTTTCTGGCTTGTATTTAGTGCTTAGCACACCAAACCACTGTCCTTCAATTATGATAACAGTGAATCATTTCTGTGTGCTTACTATATACCACGTAACTTAGTATACAGCCTGTAACTCATACAAGTTAAGAATTTTTTTTCATTTTGTCATCACAACCAGTAGGTGAGGTACTTGCCTGCTTTTCTCACTAGCTCTGACCACCCCAAGATCATCCCTGCATGCTTTTATGACCACAACCCTTGCTGTTTCGTGGATTGGCCTGAGTGTGAGCGGTTCCTGTCTTGTGTTCACTCTCTGCTCTGGAGAGTCAGCTGCTGTCAACAAGTTTTCTTCTCCACCACCTCTCCAATTCATCTTACCCATACTCAGTACTTCCCTGGGCTGAAGCCAAGCTCTCCCAGGCAGCCTGGCTGGGAGCTTTGCAGTCAGGGGCTCCAACGACTTGTAGCAGTGAGCTGCTGATACCACCCACTGTTCGCTGATGAGGGAGCCACCACAGAAGTGCTAACCAGCATTCAGGGACACCTGGTAGGGGAGAGAATTCTCCTCACAGGTGTAGCCCCCAATGATCTTGTCATCGTCGTCAAAGGGGACAGCAACTGGAGTGGAAATAGGAAGGGAGAAGTCAGTAGTATGTTAGGGGTGGCGCTCCCAGCCTGCGGTTGCTTCCTGCTAATTAGAAATCCTTAATAAGCACAGTGAAGGCAGGCAAGAGAGGGAGCGCTGCCACCCCACCCCTGGTGAGCATCACTGGATGTGGCTCCCAAGTCTCTGTGTCTGCAGGGCACTTAGGTACCCTGCGGGGGTTCAGATCTCCTTACAGCCCAGCCTGGGAAATATGCAGTGTCACCTCCACCACAATCCAGCCAGCTCGGATTCAAGCAAAGGGCACTCATGGGAAGATGACCACTGGCCAGTGTGTTTCATCAGGCTGGCATCTTTGAAGACCAGATACCACACCGACCTCCAGTGATCCAAAGTGCTGGGATTACAGGCATGATACCACACCACAGTCATTTGAATTTGTCATTACTTGGTACTCTTATTTTTTTCCCTGCTGCTCTTTTTGCATTGAAGTCCTTTTGGGATGACGTCAATAAAACTCTTTCATGTTTTTAAGATTGTATTTGTTTAGTATTTCTTTTTCAACCTTTCTACATGTAGCCTTTTTGTTGTTTTTATTCTTCAGGTGGGTATTTCATAAGCATTGTGTATTTTTTCAGCCTCATGATTTATACAACTAGAATCCTTAGTCCATTGTCTTAAATGTATTTCTGTATAGTTTTCTATAGTAGGTGATTTCCTTGGTTTTGAGTTATGTTTCTTATTTTGCTTTGTACATTAATTTTTCTCACATTTTGGTTTCTTCTTCCCTTGTCCATGACCTTATTTTTGTTCACTATTTTTGTCATTTCATTATTTTGCCTTTCAGAAGTCCACAGTTCTTTTCATTTTTTCATGATTAACTGTAACATTTTATTATATAATTATGTTAAGAAAATCTGAGATTAGTCTTATCGTTACCCTTCTCCTGAAGCCTATGCGAACTTTGGAACAATTAACACCTATGGTTCCCTTCATGATTTCCAATATTTTGGATAATCAGAATGCTAGGTCTATCACAACTAGAAGTATTATTGTTTTATTTTACCAATACTTAATTACAATTACCTATCTATGTGTTAACCATCATCTTTAATCGTCACTGTTTTTGCACAAAACTTTACTATACCAACTCAGAGCAGAAAGAGGATCCATCATATTCTGTGTCTGCCCCATTAAGCATGCTTCTTTGCTGCATGGTCTTTGATTCCTGGTAGCAGATTAATCCCAGGCAAAGATGTAGAGCCCTATTATGGGCTATCAGACCCCAATACCATGGCTTTTCTTGTGCCACAGCCCTTTGGTCCCATGCCTCTGACTCTAACTTCTATCTCCTTTTCCAACAGTTCTCATGGATACTGAAGTCCCCCAGACACCAAGAAAACTGGTCACATTGACTAATTTTAAGAGATGGCATTGAAGTAGTCTCAAAAAATGAAAAGTCATAGCACATACTAGCTGTTGACAATGTATGGCTTGGGCTATGGCAAACCCATAACACAAATGGAAGTGTCAAGGAAGAAAAACCGCCATGAGCATTAAGGAACAAAAGAGTATATTATAGGAATTAGGCCTGACACAATTTGGAGAGAAGATGGATAAGTGAAAGTTTGAAAAGGGTCAGAAAACACAACTCTAACCAGCTCTGGTGAAGGTGGATGAACTGGACTTTGCATTAAGTTTTGCATTAAGTTGGGTATATCCATGCACTACATGGAACCCTGAAGGGGCTGGTGTAGGAATCTATGGAAGATGGCTGACTCTATGTGCCAACAGCCCTGTGAGTTCTCAGACAAGTTTGGTAGTGGGACTGTAGTCCCTCCTGGTCAGCAGGGCTGGCAGTCGGTATAAAGAGCTGGATGTGAAGCAGGGGAAAGTCAGCATAAATTGGAACTCACTGGCACTTTTGATGCTACTCCTCACTGCCTGGAGCCAGTGATGACTTCAGAACTCAGTGGCAGCTGTTTTACTTTCCCCTTACAAACTTCATGCATTTCTTCCCTCATGTTCAACTCTAACCCAGAACCATACTAGGAAAAAAAGTTATCTGAAACACATTCCTTGCTTAGCTAGGTTGACACAGTGATAAAACACCACAGGAATATCCAGATGCTCCTTGACTTGCAGTGGGGTAATATCCTGATAAATCCAGCATAGATTGAAAACATCATAATTCAACTTACAATATCCAGCTTATCTGTACATAACCCCATCATAAGTCAAGGAGCACACTGAAATGCATATTGCTTTTGCACCATTGTAAAGCTGAAAAGTCATTGAACCATCATGAGACCATCTGTACCTGACAATTAGTGTTTCTCAAAATAAATAGGAAGATTTTCTTCCGATCTGAAGGTCTTCCAGCCACTCCCTCCCAGACATATCATAATATTGGGCCAGAGGTCACCCATAGCAAGCTGTCCTTACTTACTCTTTGCAGAAAAAGTACAGTTACAGTATGAAGTGGCCTCATTTTAATGAGGCCCAACATACCCAAGAAATAAAAATGCAGCCACAGGAGCATACAGATGCCCTTCAATAGATATGTCAATATTAACATAATGCAATAGCTATATTTGTTATAAAATGATTTCACTATTGCACAAACATAATATGATGGGCGAAGTCTTAATCTTATCTTTTCTAGCTACCTATGCCAGAGAAGTAGAACTAAATATTAAATGAAAGCACAATTGGGAGGCTGTTATAAAAATGAAAACATAGGGCTTTCAAAACAACTTTCCAGCTCCTTGTAATTGCTACACATTTTCAACGTCAATCCATTAAAACAAGTATCCCAGCATGTTCAAATCAAAGAATTTCTTATGCCTCCTAGAAACTAGTTTCACTGTCCAGTACTTAGTATGACCTCCATTACAAGAGAATAAATGTAACTAATTATTCTCACAACCTCAACAGTGATTAACACAGAAACATACAAGCTAAATCGAGAAATGTTATTAGAATGTTTAGAATTAAGTCCATCTATATGTGAGGGAAATTGTCATGAGATACTCACGAGGTAACTATCTCATTTAGAAAATGACGAAGTGGCTTCAACATGATTATGAAGAAACATTGGACTTCCAGCCGAGGCACTGGCCTGGGCATTATCAATATTTATGGTAGTGCCAACCTGTAGGTCTAGTGATTAACAACCATGAGTTGTCTTGGTGTAATTACTTTGAGGATATGAAACAGAAGCAGCAGACTCCAATGCCATTCATTACCCAAACATACACTCCTTTCCTTACAAGAAACTCGCTTAAGTCATTGCAATGCTCTACGTCTCAGTGTATCTTTAATAAATTTGGAAGTTGAATTGGGAAATCTTTAGGCCACTTTAGACACTGTATGGGTTTTTTGTTTTCTTTTGAGACGGAGTCTCATTCTGTCGCCCAGGCTGGAGTGCAGTGGCACGATCTCAGCTCACTGCAACCTCTGCCTCCCGGGTTCAAGCAATTCTCTGCCTCAGCCTCCCGAGGAGCCGGGATTATAGGCGCCCGCCACCACGCCTGGCTAATTTTTGTGTTTTTAGTAGAGACGGGGTTTCACCATGTTGGCCAGGTTGGTCTTGAATTCCTAACCTTGTGATCTACCCGCCTCGGCCTCCCAAAGTGCTGGAATTACAGGCGTGAGCCACCTCGCCGACCTGTATGGTTCTTTGACAGGCAGAGAGATGGATGTAACACGGGTCATGAGCAAAGATTACCACCAGGGGGCAGACTAGAGCATCCTTGGGATTCTGTGATCAGTCATCCCTCCTCGCTGGTGAATGGAGACAGTGGTCACAACTCTCCCCAGAGAAGGTGGTGTGGGGCCATCACGGAAGATGCTGCTGCTTCTGCTGCTTCTGGGGCCAGGTATGAGCCTCCTTCTACCTGGGAGCTTGGGTGGGCATGTGCGTGTGTTGCCATGGTCAAGCGGTGGCCAGGCAATGTGGATTGTTTATGCTCATCGAAGGGAGAGGGAGCGGCCCTGCTCTCTAGAGGTGTAAAGGGTAAGGTGAGAGCCGCCAGTCAGAGGAGATAGGGGATTATAGCCCTAGGGAGATGACAGGAAGATTGCACAAAACAAACAGGATTCTCCAGGAGCTGGGAGCACGGGGAGGGAGGGAGGCTGAGCTCGGCCTGGCATCCTGTCTGACTCGGCTCCCACTGGGCTCTCCTCTCTCTGGCTTCTGTTTCAGCAGGCTCCGGGCTTAGTGCTGTCGTCTCTCAACATCCGAGCAGGGTTATCTGTAAGAGTGGAACCTCTGTGAACATCGAGTGCCGTTCCCTGGACTTTCAGGCCACAACTATGTTTTGGTATCGTCAGCTCCGGAAACAGAGCCTCATGCTGATGGCAACTTCCAATGAGGGCTCCGAGGTCACATACGAGCAAGGCGTCAAGAAGGACAAGTTTCCCATCAACCATCCAAACCTGACCTTCTCCGCTCTGACAGTGACCAGTGCCCATCCTGAAGACAGCAGCTTCTACATCTGCAGTGCTAGAGACACAGCGCCAGGAGGGGATCAGAGACCGCGGCAAGAACCCCTGCAGCTGCTCCTCCACCCCAGCAGGCCCACTGAGTGCTGAGAAGGGAGGCGTGGAGAATGGAAAACCACAGCTTTCCTGACTGAGACATCTGGGAGTGTGTGTGCAGGGGGTGGGGCAGGGGATGGGTAGGGGGAGAAAAAGAAAAGAAGCACTGTGAGTGTGGAGTATGGAGGAGGTGTAGTGTTTGAGACCCACGAAATGGCAATAGAGTTGGGCCTAAAGAGGTAAGTGAACATGGAAAGTTCCCTGAAAATTATAAAACCTAGAATTTTGCCCTGACTCTGCCACATTAGTCATGTGTTCTTGAATAGATCTACATATAATCCTAGAGGTACATATGAAGACAGTTGTATAACCACTGTGTACTTCCTATAATAAACTTCAGCAATTGGCTCTCTTTCTTGTCATCATGCTGGGCTCTCAAGACAAAGATAACCAAGAGGCAGCCAAGTAGAGAGTTATGCATGAACACATTACCTTAGGGGAGGATGGCAACAGCATTGAATAGCATCCACTCCAAATTTGTGTTCTGTCCTCCTTGGACCAGGACCACGAAAATAAAATCCTATCACATTTCCTGTAAATGTTGAATGCCATCATGTTCTCCACGGTGTTTCAGTTGATGAATGAACAGGGTAAGACTCGGTACAAAGGGAGGGGAGCACCTCTATGCCTAGGTACACACCATACGGAACGTATCCCTAGGGAAGGTGCTGGTGACCTGGCTCCTGGGAAAGGTGTCAAGGGAAAGAGGGGGCAGAGGTACCTAGAAGGAAGACCTCAGACAACATGGCTTGTCTAAAGAGTTGGAAAGTTCTGCCAGTAGCTAGAAGACAGTAAGTGGAACAGTGAAAATCCTTTCCTAGGAGAAACCAAACATTTACATTGACCACAAATCTGTATGAGCCAATAGAAAATGAGCAAAACATATGATCATACATTTAATAGAAGAAACATGTATGACCAATAAACATATAGAGATATTTTACTTCATTGATGATCAGGATCCAATGATACATAGCTTTATATCCACTTGATTAGCAAAATATAAAAAGTCTAGAAATATAAAATGTTAGCGAGGGTATGGATTCATAGGATTACTTATAAATTACTGATGGGAGCATAAGTACTATAAACCACTGGGAAACAGTTCAGCATTATCTCACAGTTGAAGATTCCTATATCCCATGACTCAGCAATTCCACTTCTAGATTTACATCAGGAGAGGCTCTTGCATACATGACTCAGCAATTCCACTCCTAGGTTTACATCAGGAGAAGCTCTTGCATACACATATCAGAAGACATAAATACAAAAGTGTTTTCAACAGCACCAAACAGTAGAAAAACATGGCACCAACCCACATATGCACTGAAAAGAGTGAATGAATAAACTGCGGCATATTCATATGAGTCAAAATGAATGAACTATAGTGAAGAGCAAGGTTATAGGTGAATCTTAGCAATATAATAGCAAATGTAAAAACTAAGCCTAATGAGATGATGCAAAGTATAACGTGCTTTTCATAAAGCTAAAAACAAGTCAAGAAAGTAATTTTCAGGACTAAAATATATTAGATCAAATTATATTGAAAAGAAAGCAAAGACCACTTGTATGCTGCAGCCTACCTTATCAGCTCATGGGAGCTGACTGTATACATCTTTCCCAACTCCAGTTTTAGTGACATCATTTTGTTAGCTTGAAACTGGCCATAGTGAGGGTATTTACACTACAGAAATCAGCAAACACAACAAATTACGCTTTGCTTTATTTTCCTCCAGAGAGTTAGTTGTCAACCCTTTACCAACACACTACTGGCAGGGAATAATAATGACCCAAGTTCAGGATTTTTATAAGGCTGGGGCATGGCAGGAGATAGAATGAGAGAGAACTACACAGCTATACATTTAAATATTCTAAAGGTCTATCTTGCATAATGTTGAGGAGGAGATATTTTACAAGTTCCTATTATGTTTTTAAATAAGTAATTATTCATTGACAAGAAAGTCCTGTGTGTTATTAACCACAGGTTAAGATAAATAAAATTGTATGCATATAGAATCAAAAAGAAGAGAAAATAAAACAAATAAATGAATAGATTAGAGTTCTTACAAGAAAAGGATTAAGAACATTTTATAGTCAAAACCAGGAGTGAAATAGCAGTGGGTCACCTGCTACCATCCTCATATAGACATCGGCTGCTGAACTAATCACAGCGGACAACCTACCACCCAACAGACCTGGACCCTTGTCAACCCCTTTGCAACAGAGAGCAGGGGTTTAGACACTAAGGGTGAACGTGAAAGCATGGAGATGACGCCTGGCCCCTGACCAAGGTGGAACTGCCTGGAATAAGATGGGAGCAAATTCCGCAGTGGACACGCTGCTGCTTTTCATCTCCACTATGACCACGTGCTGCTGGTGGTTAAATACCCCACCTGGGTTCAGTCACCTCAGACTGTGCCATTGTCACTGAACTCAAGGACCCATTTTAATTGTAGCCTTTTACTCTGTTCGTGCTTTCAGCCTGGAGAACAGAGCTAGTAAAATTCTTTTAAAATATTCCACCGCTTCACTAATGGCATGGAAAAGACAAGAGCTTTTAAGGCTCTGGCATGAAATAGGGAGACAGTTGTTACATTCCTATTTCATGCAGTCACTATTTCCCTCTACATTAAGCTGAGGAGTGTAGTGTTTCAGTGACATTTAGCATGGAACAGTGCTGGGTTCAGACCTGCCTTTCCCAAACAAGCTGACTTGTCAGGACACAGCCCACTGCCTACCTACATTACCTTAGGAAAGAAGACAACAGCGTTGAACAGCATTCAGTCCAAATTTGTGTTCTGTCTTCCTTGGACAAGTACCAACAAAATGAAATCCTATCACATTTCCTATAAATTTTGAATGCCATAAACTTTTCATGAGCAATTCTTTTTGGAGTGTTGGACTTTCTGTTCTGATTTTATATTCTACTCTTTGGGCTTTGTTGTACTTGAAATCAAGTTCACCTTTCAGAGGCAGTGATGGGTGAGGTAAGAGATAGACTCTTACATCTTCCTCCCCAACACACACACACACACACACACACACACACACACACACACACACACACACAGAGGCACTGTGTTTCCCAGTAACGGAGAAGCCATGGGGAGAATTTCAGAGGTTTTTTTTGAGATGGAGTCTCGCCGTGTCGCCCAGGCTGGAGTGCAGTGGCACGATCTCAGCTCACTGCAAGCTCTGCCTCCCAGGTTCACACCATTCTCCTGCCTCAGCATCCTGAGTAGCTGGGACTACAGGCGCCCGCAACCACGCCCGGCTAATTTTCTGTATTTTTAGTAGAGACGGGGTTTCACCGTGTTAGCCAGGATGGTCTCGATCTCCTGACCTTGTGATCTGCCCACCTCAGCCTCCCAAAGTGCTGGGATTACAGGCGTGAGCCACTGCACCTGGCCAATTTCAGAAGTTTTGAGGGAGCTAGGGTTTTCTAATTCTTCTATATCCTTGGATATCTCCATTCTTAATGTCAAAAATAATCTCTGGAGCTGGTTCCAGGAGTCTCAACCCATTTGCTACAGTACATGCACCATCTCAGGTGTCCAAAGGTGAATATTTGATTAACTACTTCACAGCTTCATACCCCTGCTGCTGTTTTTCCATTCTGGAATGTGGAAAGCAGTGTGACTCCTATTAACTGACCAGTAGTCAATTTCAACTACCCATAAATATGTGAGTGTCTTGTATCTGTAATCCCCTATCTGGTGCCATTTTTGGAAACCAGTTAAGACTCTTTTATCCTAAAAAAATGAACTATGTTGCATTTCTGGAAAGTAATTATTGATGAAATACTCCCTGGAGAGTCTGAAGCCCCTGATATTGTATATTTAATGGTTATCCTCCTTTTAATAAAAGGTATGGGAAGAAATTTTAAATATTATTCCTAAATACCTTACATCGAGATGAGCTAGAGTTAATTAAGTGGGACGAGGGATAATGAATTCGAGGGCATTTAAGAAAGATTAAAGAACCAATGCAAAATGTTTTAATCAGGAAAGAAATTGGTGTGTTTAATGACAGAAAAGAAGTCAGCAGCATGGCAGGAGCTGGGGGGAGGTCGGTGAGTACAGGGCAAACTTGAAGAAGGCAGGAAGGCATCAGACCACTCAGAACCTTACTGGTCAAGGTAAATTATACAGAATTCAACATAAAGCTTAACAGGAGACACTGAGGTTTTCAACATTTGACTTCTGTAGTAATCAGATTCGTGGCTGTGTATCTGTGTATTTAATCACCCTGGTCACAAAGTGAAGAAATAATGGACTGTGCAGGGAAGACAAAATGTTACCTCTTCCCTCTTAGGGTTTTTCGGCTGGGCCTGAGAATGGAACAGATTAACAGGAGGAAAGCATACACATGTATTTAATATAAGTTTTACATCACATGAAAGGCCCCATAATTAAAGGAAGACCTGAATATGCAGTTAGAATTCAATACTCATATACTCAGTTGGGCAAAGAGTCATACATTGTGGAAAGGTGAAAAAGGGGCTTGGGCTAGGGTTGCTGGTTGAATGGCAAAGTGACTAGGAAGGTGAGGGTTAGTTTAACAAGCTTTTTTGGTATAGATTCCTTGGCCTCAACATCATCCCCTCCTACCCTTCATGTTAAGAATGTTCTTTCTTTCTGGTATAGATAAGACATCTTTTATATGGGAGGCTTATTCCATTTTTCAAGAAGAAAAGGGGAAGGGTCAGAGTACTCTTATACCTGCTATTGTCTTTAATGACTCTAGCTCAAAATAATCCTTATGCCAAAGTGGCATATTTTGGGCGGAGGGTTGGGGGCTTATGCTGCCACCCTCCAGCAGTGTGGACAGAGTTGATGCGGAGAAAAAAGTTAGCTCAGGCAAGCAGTAGTTTAGCTGGGATAATGATGATGGTGTTAGAAATATGGGGAAAATGAGACATTTAAAAGGAAGAAAATCAAAGGACTTGGCAATTGATTAGACATGAGCAGCAATATGCAGGGGGTGGGGGGTGGTGATTAAGAGACTGCGACAGACAGACAAATAAGGAGGACCAAGTGGGAAGAAGATCAAGATTTACTTTGAGATTGGGAGTGCCTTTGGGACAGTAATCTAAACAAGAATATGCAGGGAGCAGTTGGATGTACAAGTCATGGACTCAGAAAATGGATCTGGATAAGAAGTACACCTTTGGGACATTTAGCATCACTGGAAGAATGAAAGTGCCTCCAATCCCTTGATATAGAGTTTACAATGAAAAAAGCAGAGAACATAGGATAGAGATTTAGGCAGCACACCTGCCTTGGGGGACTATAAAAGGTTGAGGGAGGCAAAATGCACTGATAAACCACCATCGGCATTAGACTAATGGCTGAGTAATTGTGTAAGTAATTGCTAGTAATAATGCTGTGGAGTACGTGCCTGGTACCACACCAAGTGCTGCTTTTTTCTTAATTCCGCTCTGATACTTGGGATGCCTCCCTGCTGCCTCGCTGCGGGGCGGGCCACTCCCCACCCAGGCAGGCCGAGGCAGAGCTCAGCGGGCATCGGATGAATTCGCCCCTTTGACCACTAGAGGGTGATGTGGATCTTTCTGTAAAATATCTGCTGCTCATCAAGTGCGGACTCAAGAGCTTCACCTGTGTTCAGCATTTGGGGACGCTCTCAGCTCTCGGCGCACGGCCCAGCTTCCTTCAAAATGTCTACTGTTCACGAAATCCTGTGCAAGCTCAGCTTGGAGGGTGATCACTCTACACCCCCAAGTGCATATGGGTCTGTCAAAGCCTACACTAACTTTGATGCTGAGCGGGATGCTTTGAACATTGAAACAGCCATCAAGACCAAAGGTGTGGATGAGGTCACCATTGTCAACATTGTGACCAACCGCGACAATGCACAGAGACAGGATATTGTCTTCTCCTACCAGAGAAGGACCAAAAAGGAACTTGCATCAGCACTGAAGTCAGCCTTATCTGGCCACCTGGAGACGGTGATTTTGGGCCTATTGAAGACACCTGCTCAGTATGACGCTTCTGAGCTAAAAGCTTCCATGAAGGGGCTAGGAACCGACGAGGACTCTCTCATTGAGATCATCTGCTCCAGAACCAACCAGGAGCTGCAGGAAATTAACAGAGTCTACAAGGAAATGTACAAGACTGATCTGGAGAAGGACATTATTTCGGACACATCTGGTGACTTCCGCAAGCTGATGGTTGCCCTGGCAAAGGGTAGAAGAGCAGAGGATGGCTCTGTCATTGATTATGAACTGATTGACCAAGATGCCCAGGATCTCTATGACGCTGGAGTGAAGAGGAAAGGAACTGATGTTCCCAAGTGGATCAGCATCATGACCGAGCGGAGCGTGCCCCACCTCCAGAAAGTATTTGATAGGTACAAGAGTTACAGCCCTTATGACATGTTGGAAAGCATCAGGAAAGAGGTTAAAGGAGACCTGGAAAATGCTTTCCTGAACCTGGTCCAGCGCATTCAGAACAAGCCCTTGTATTTTGCTGATCAGCTGTACGACTCCATGAAGGGCAAGGGGACGCGAGATAAGGTCCTGATCAGAATCATGGTCTCCCGCAGTGAAGTGGACATGTTGAAAATTAGGTCTGAATTCAAGAGAAAGTACGGCAAGTCCCTGTACTATTACATCCAGCAAGACACTAAGGGCGACTACCAGAAAGCGCTGCTGTACCTGTGTGGTGGAGACGACTGAAGCCCGACACAGCCTGAGCGTCCAGAAATGGTGCTCACCATGCTTCCAGCTAACAGGTCTACTAAACATACAAAAGTTTAGCCGGGCGTGGTGGCGCTCGCCTGTAGTCCCAGCTAGTCCGGAGGCTGAGGCAGGAGAATGGCTTGAACCCGGAAGGCAGAGGTTACAGTGAGCCGAGATCATGCCACTGCACTCCAGCCTGGGCAACAGAGCTAGACTCTGTCTCTAAATAAATAAATAAATGTAAGGGGCGCGGTGGCTCACGCCTGTAATCCCAGCACTTTGGGAGGCCGAGGTGGGCGGATCACCTGAGGTCAGGAGTTCAAGACCAGCCTGGCCAACATGGTGAAACCCCGTCTCTACCAAAAACACAAAAAATTAGCCGGACGTGGTGGCGGGTGCCTGTAATCCCAGCTACTCGGGAGGCTGAGGCAGGAGAATTGCTGGAACCCGGGAGTGCAGTGAGCTGAGATCATACCATTGCACTCCAGGCAGCTGGGCGACAGGGTGAAACTCTGTCTCAAACAAAAAAAAAAAAGTTTGAAATAAGTAAAGATATACAACATGATCATGAAAAAGTGAATCCAATAATCCAATAGTAAGTTTATTTTAATTTCTGCAGTATTATCTATATATTCAATACGACAGTAATCAAACTACAAAATATTTATTTCATGAAATTTGGCATATAATCTACAACTAAGTGAAAAAGAAGAACAAAAATAAGCATTATTTAAGAAGGACAGAAAGTGACGTGAATTGCTCTACCAATTATCAAATTATGTTATCACTTAGGATAATGAAAGAAGCGTGATTGGCCGGGCGCGGTAGCTCACGTCTGTAATCCCAGCACTTTGGGAGGCCGAGGCAGGTGGATCAGGAGGTCAGGAGATGGAGACCATCCTGGCTAACACAGTGAAACCCTGTCTCTACTAAAAATACAAAAGAATTAGCCGGGCATGGTGGCGGGCGCCTGTAGTCCCAGCTACTCGGGAGGCTGAGGCAGGAGAATGGCGTGAACCCGGGAGGCGGAGCTTGCAGTGAGCCGAGATAGCACCACTGCACTCCAGCCTGGGCCACAAAGCCAGACTCCGTCTCAAAAAAAAAAAAAAAAAAAAAAAAGAAGCGTGATTAAACAGGCAAATGGAAAAGAGAAAATGAAAAATAGGTCCATGAATATATAGGAATTTCACATATGATAGAGGTGTTATTGAAGCTATATGGAGGAATTATGTAATATACAATAAGTTATTCTGGAACAGGTGGTTATCCATACAAGGAAAGATGAATTTAAACCTTACTTCACAATATATGCTAAAATAAATCACAAGTGGATTAAATGCTTAAATGCAAAATTCAAAATGTTAGGTGTTTTGGTAAATAATAAGGATTATATCTTCATGAATTTGGGCTATGGGTTTTTTTTATATAAAGAATTTAAAAACATGTTCACCCCAAATAAAAGAATAATGCATTCTACTAAATTAAGAAATCCAACAAAAAGTAGCACAAAGAGAGTAAAGACATAAACCACAAACTGGAAAGATATTAGGAACACATATAGCTGACAAACGTTGGGTATCCAGAGTCTATAAAATCTGTTACAAATAAATAACAGTTAATCAACCAAAAAGAAATATGGACAAAGGGCAGTTTACAGCAACACTGGTGGCCTATAATATATAAAATATGTTCAACCTTCTTAGCAACCAGGAAGAAGCAAGCTAAAACTATATTGTACCATGAGATAATATTAACAAACTAGACTGGCAAAATTAAAAGTATATTAAATAGCAAGTGTAGTCCTAGATGTGGAACATTTGAACACACTCATGAACTGTTGGTGGGATCATTTATTTGGCTTAATCACTTTGGA
This sequence comes from Homo sapiens, assembly GCF_000001405.40. NCBI lineage: Eukaryota > Metazoa > Chordata > Mammalia > Primates > Hominidae > Homo > Homo sapiens. Next base: position 33,627,170 of record NC_000009.12, read on the forward strand.
AAGCATTTTGTTATGTTATGAAGTTGACATGCTGACTTGAAGACTCAGTCTTTACATTGCCAGGTATGGCAACAATCTTCCACCTAGGTAAGCAGAGACATGTTCAAGAATACCATACTGTTTGTAGCAGCACAAACACCCAGGGAAAAATTAGTGTGTATTAATTCAAGAATGAATCAATTCTAGCCAATGAATATAACGTAATACTAGATAGCAATGGAAGTAAATTGTCTAGATTATGTGTCAACATATTATCACAGACCTAATGTTGAATGAAAAAATAACATTACAGAAAAATATATAAACTAGCTGATTCCTCTTAGACACATTTCAAAGACACACAAAATTAAATACTACATAATTTACAGATTCTTGTGTAAATGCTACAGACTATAATGCAAAGCAAGTGAATGACAAATTTAAACTTCAGTTTACATCTACCTGGGCATGATGGAGAAACAATGAGGAAATCTAAAAGAGTAACATGGACTGAGAAATTTTCAGCAATAATCTAACTCTTAAGCTGATTGGTTCAGGCAAAGGTATTCATTTTATTGCTTCTATATATGCATTGCATATTTGTCATAAATATTGTTCTGTATAGTTCAACATTTAATTCTTTAATGTAGCCGGACGCGGTGGCTCATGCCTGTAATCCCAACACTTTGGGAGGCTGAGGTGGGCGGATCACTTGAGGTCAGGAATTCAAGACCAGCCAGTGACATGGTGAAAGGCTGTCTCTACTAAAAATACAAAAATTAGCCAGGTGTGGTGGTGGGGGCCTGTAATCCCAGCTACTCAGGAGGCTGAGGCAGGAGACTGCTTGAACCCAAGAGGCAAAGGCTGCAGTGGGCCGAGATCAAGCCACTGAACTCCAGCCTGGGAGACAGAGCAAGATCCGTCTCAAAAATAAATAAATAAATAAATAAGAAAAAATTACTTAATGTAAAGCTGCTGCTATGTGATTTTATAAGTGTGTCAAAAGCTACTATCTGTAAAGACCGAGTTGTATGATTCCTTACCTGAGATGGAAGGGAGGAGGGGAAGAAGCAAATTGACAAGTTAAAAAAGTAAACAGAGTGTAAATTAGTTCAACCATGTGGAAGACAGTGTGGCGATTCCTCAAGGATCTAGAACCAGAAATACCATTTGACCCAGCAATCCCATTACTGGGTATATACCCAAAGGATTATAAATCATTCTACTATAAAGACACATGCACATGTATGTTTACTGCAGCACTGTTCACAATAGCAAAGACTTGGAACCAACCCAAATGCCCATCAGTGATACACTGGATAAAGAAAATGTGGCACATATACACCATGGAATACTATGCAGCCATTAAAAAGAATGAGTTCATGTCCTTTGCAGGGACATGGATGAAGCTGGAAACCATCATTCTCAGCAAACTAACACAAGAACAGAAAACCAAACACTGCATGTTCTCACTCATAAGTGGGAGTTGAACAATGAGAACACATGGATACAGGGAGGGCAACATCATACACGGGGCCTGTTGGGGGATGGAGGGCTAGGGGAGGGATAGCATTAGGAGAAATACCTAATGTAGATGATGGGTTGATGGGTGCAGCAAACCACCATGGCATGTGTATACCTAATGTAACAAAACTGCACATTCTGCACATGTACCCCAGAACTTAAAGTATAATAATTTTTTTTAATAAATGTATGAGTGATTTTACTTAAAAAAATAGCAAAACAGTGAGTCACAGAAAAAAAAAACTAAAAGCAGGCTGAAACTTACACTATTTTTAACAGCTAAAACAAAGCCTGCCCTCCTACATTCTCTGAAATTGAAATGATTCTGTCCCATGTACAGAGCATCTACAAAGGCTATGGGAAGTGATCACATCACAAGCAGGTTGCTGACGGGGGCGGGGGGAGCGGGCGGAGCGGGTGAGGAAGCCTTACAGAAAAAGCTACCACCACGATTTCTGTCTGAGCCAACCAGGTGCCTCAGACTTCTCTGCTGTGTGGCCCTTTCTTTCTGGGGAGCAGGTAAGTCCCTGTTCTGAACTGGTGAATTCCAGTTCCAAGACTCTCTCCTGTGGCTGCAGTATCAGGCTCCCTCCTGGGCTTTTTTTCCTTCCTCCACAGCCTCCATGGACACCAAGGTCACCCAGAGACCTAGATTTCTGGTCAAAGCAAATGAACAGAAAGCAAAGATGGACTGTGTTCCTATAAAAAGACATAGTTATGTTTACTGGTATCATAAGACGCTGGAAGAAGAGCTCAAGTTTTTTATTTACTTTCAGAATGAAGAAATTATTCAGAAAGCAGAAATAATCAATGAGCGATTTTCAGCCCAATGCCCCCAAAACTCACCCTGTACCTTGGAGATCCAGTCCACGGAGTCAGGAGACACAGCACGGTATTTCTGTGCCAACAGCAAAGCCACAGTGCCGAATGTTAGCCCTTCTTAGAACACAAACTCATTATGGACCCAGCTCAGGAAATAAGTGTATGTCAGGTTGGTACACACTATAATAACAGAAAGCCAACTTGAAAGACAATAAATCAGAAGGAAAAACTTGTAAATAACAGCTCTAAGTGAGCAAAAAACAAAGGGGGAGGGGTACTTAAAACAGCTGATGGGGACAAAACCCCAGGGAAGGAAGCAGAAGGCATAAAAAGCTCGGATTCCTCCGTGTTCAGGATATTAGTTAAGATATACTAAGTTACCTTCTGTCTCTCTTTTCATATGAGCTTTAGGGATTTCTAACAATCTTTATTTAAAGAATGGGATTCTGTGCTTTTCACTTGGTAAAGCTGTGAGTTCAGAAATAAGAATAAGCAAATCAACTGTGTCTTTCAGGTAGACCCTGATCATCTGACCCAGCACATTTCCTTGAACTAGAGACAGACTCTAAAGGGCTTTTTGACTGCTTCTCACAGCTCTTCCTGCCATAGAAGTTTAGTAGGAACCATTAGCAATTCCCACCCTCTGGAATGTTACAATCACAAAAATTTTTAAAGCACCTTTATTGAGACATAAGATACATGTAGAATACGTAGGCAATAAACATATGCAACCGATGCAACAAAACCCACCCTCATTGTAAGTGTATACTTCAACAAATTTTAACACATTTTTATACCCATGTAACCATGATGACAATCAAGATACAAAACATTTTCATCATCTCAAAAAGTCCCCCACATCTCTTTATTGAGGTCTCGTTAATTTCTCTCAGCATTGCTTTGTAGTTTTTATTATACAGATCTCATACATATTTTCCTAAATTTTATTTTAATAAATTATAAATGTACTCAATAAAAATATTCTCTGCCAAGATTTCACATCAGCCTGACTCAGCCTAATTCAATTTCATCTTTACATTTTTCAATTGACATCTCTACCTCAGCATATTACATAAAAATACCTTCTCCAGAAATTGCATATGGTTTGGAGCAACCATATGTGAGCTCACAGCGTCAGCCTCATTCGCCATGTGAACCAATCAAGTGTTAGTGCTGCTCTGTTTCCAGGTAAATTATACGCATTCACATGTATTGGAAAAGCTGTGAAATTTCTGCAAGGTGTACTTTAAGAAGAGGTATATTTTGTTAATGAAAACATACCTATGAGTTAAGATTAATTAAAGGGAATATTTTGCAGTTAAGCACATGATTTGGAATGAGGGGTTGGGTGTTGAAGCCCTGCTGGTCAAGCCTCTGAATTCCATTCTTGTTTCTCCCATAGGCCACCTTCATCAGGTCTACAGTTCTACAATACAGAGTGTCAGTAGTAGGGAAGGTCGTTCATGTGAGAACAGGGAATACTTGGGATTCTGTAGTTTCTGCTCAACTTTGCTGCGGACTTAAAATTGCTCCAAAAATACAATTCACTAATTTAAAAATGGATACAAGTATTCAGATGGAGAATTACCATATTGGAGGCACGAAATGGGAACATACTGTTGAATCTGTTGCAATACAGGAAGAGTGTTTAATGACAAACTTTATTACTCCTTTGTCTAGGAAATAGGACACTATTTAACACTGACTACAACGAGGATCTTAAATACAGTAGAACTGTCTAAATTCTATCATTAAGAATAGTGTATATATTACCAATATAGGGATCTGAGGTGTCTCAGAATTAGTAACACATAGTACTGTAGAGATTATTTTAAAACGTAGTGTGGAGATAATTTTGTGATTCCATTTTAGGAATACTATTTCTGATTACATGGTTTCTTAGCGTAAAGCCTCACTCTTTCATGAAAGAGAGTATATACTATCATACTACGTCCCTGTAGTTTTCTATTCCAATAATGCTCCTTAGGAATAAAATATACATGATAATCATGATGATGACGTGGATAATGATGAATATAATTGATAATGCAGACAGTATGTAGAAAGATAGATGATAGAATTTGTACCATGTTTCCAGGACTAGAATACAATCATGGTAAGTATAATATAAAACTTGTTATAATTGAAGTCTGTAAACAGTCTAAAGAAGTAGTTTAATTTTTTTCCCTTGACACCTTGACAAATCTGCAAACTACACATATAGGCTAAGTACTTCCGAGGCTATATGAACTTCCTAAAAAACATTTCCTCTCTGTGGATTCCAGCATAATGCATATTCTCTTCTAAGGCAGAAGTTTTTAACCTGGGATCCATGGACCTCCAAGTAGTGCACAGATAAAATTCAGGGAATCCATAAATTTGAATGGGAAAATAGATCTTTATTTTAACTAATCTCCAACTGAAATATACCTTTCCCTCTAAGATATAGTGAGTAAACCAGAGTAGTTTTAGTAATACCAGTGACAAAATCAATTGCAGAAATCACAAACATTTGCTTACATGTTGCATAAGTGACAGTTGATATAAAAGTCAGATATTTTCATATCATGTTACATGCAGTAAATATACCTTCATCACTATGTTGAAATCGTGACAGTTTTCAGATTCATCAGGTTATATTTTATTTAATGAAATTTAAAAGTGTTCCTATATTAATATATGAAAATTTAAAAAAATATTTTGATGTCTGCATTTCAAAATAATTGTTTTTCTATATTCTAGTTTGTGCATTTAAAATGTTATCCTGAGATGGGGTCCCTAGGATTTACCAGTCTGACAAAGAGGTCCCTGGTACAATGTGAAGAACTCCTGGACACAGAATTAGATCCTCAACGCAGGCATGATTGACAACCTGAAACCTAGACTCACGCATTGGAAGCAACCATGTTGGAAGCATTCTTTCTCAGAGTTTTACCCACACTGCTGCACCTCTTAATGCTTCTCACTTTAAATAATTACTTTGCATTCTCTCTCTTTCTCTCTCTCTCTCTCTCTCACTCTCGCTCTCCTGCTCTTTTATTTTCTCTCTCTGCCTTCTGTTTTTCTTCTAGGAGGAAATAGCAACAGCTTCTAAACCCCACCAGCTTGCAACCAAAAGTTTCATCATGAAAGCATCTTTTAATGGCAGATAACCTCAGAACAACATTTGTCTACCAAAACAAAAGCATTCATTAAGAAATCATCGGAATTGAACAATGAGAACACATGGACACAGGAAGGGGAACATCACACACTGGGGACTGTTGTGGGGTGGGGGGAGGGGGGAGGGATAGTATTAGGAGATATACCTAATGCTAAATGACGAGTGAATGGGTGCAGCACACCAGCATGGCACATGTATACATATGTAACAAACCTGCACGTTGTGCACATGTACCCTAAAACTTAAAGTATAATAATAATAATAATAAAGAAATCATCTAGGATCCTATTTTTATTTACTAAATCTATTGGGAAGAACCTATGTTATACAGTGAATTTACACTCATACAAATTTCTACTCGTGTTGGAAAATGATACTTTAGTCAGCTGGTACAACCCTATGACCATAAATGTCTGATTTCACTTGATATAGTATTGACTTCCTAACTTCCTGTGAATTAGAATATCAGGTCCAGAACGTAATAATAGCAAACACAAATATAGTGTTTCTTATGTACTAAGAACTGTTCTAAATGCTTTATTTATGTAATGTTCATCACAGGTTTGGGGGTAGTTACTTATTATCTCAATTTTACAGGTAAAGTCAGATTGAAGAGAGGCTCTGTAACTTTTACAAGGTTACGTAGATGCTAAATGGCACAGACAGGACTAAAGCCCATGCCGTGTCCCAAGTCCCTGCTCTAATCCATTGTCACAAGGGGAGGGGCACTTCAGACGCTTTGCTATTCCTAAAATTACAGGAGTAGCGCCTACCCCATCTCTACTGTATTAATTATTTATAGTAAATACAGAGAGTGTCGAGAATTGGTTCTTTAAAAAAAAACAACCACAAAAAACTAAACTTCCAAACCCCTTCTTGTGTTGAGTTGAGCACAGGTGCATGGCACTCTGTGTATGACTCTGACCAGGAAATGAGGGATTGGCTCTTCTGACCATGCAGGCAGGCACTTGTCCATTTAGAAGGGATATAAAAAGCTTCTATAAGCAGAAGAGGAGGTGCATGTGACTTGATCTCTCTAATTCTTAGTCTCACCATCTGCAAAATCAGCTGTGACAATCAGTCATCATGTAGCAATGACAAATTCTTTATATTAAGCCCTGGGGAGGGGCTAGATCTCAGCCTCTCTCTCTCTCAGAGCCTGTGTCTGTAACTTCAGAGAGACTTCATCGCTGCCATGGGCAGCTGTGTCCTCTGCTATGTGACCCTGTGTCTCCTGGGAGCAGGTGAGCTCAGCACACATCCAGTTGGTCAATTCCTATCCTGGGCTTGCCAGGCCCCTCCCCGGCCAGCACCTCCCTTCTGGGCATGATCTCTAGCCTTTGTCTCTTGGACCCTTGGATGCTGACATCTATCAGACGCCATTCCAGCTCACTGGGGCTGGATGGGATGTGACCCTGGAGTAGAAACAATTTGAGACACAATGACATGTACTGGTACTGGTACTGGCAGGACCCAAAGCAAAATCTGAGACTGATCTATTACTCAAGGGTTGAAAAGGATATTCAGAGAGGAGACCTAACTGAAGGCTACGGTGTCTCCCGAGAGGAGAAGGGGCTGTTTCTTCTCATGGTGAAGCTGGCCCACACCAGCCAAACAGCTCTGTACTTCTGTCCTGGGAGTGCACCACAGTGGAAGCACAGCCATTGTCTCTCTGTGCGGAAATGTGTCCTAGCCCTGTAGTCCCCACCACATCCTCTAGTTTAATTTTTTCATTTTTAATATTTTCTTGAGATTTTCCTATGTCCTGTTACTTTTGCAAACACAAAGGATACAAAACTGAAAAGAAAATAGATCCTTTATCCAAGGAGCTAAGAGTCTAGCAAGAAAGTAATTATAATAGAACGGAAAATATCATATATAATACTACAATCAGAAGTCATTTGGGAGCTTCAGGGAGGACATGCACAATTCTGTTTGATTGAATGAGAAAAAGCAAAGAGGAAGTCCCATTAGAACCTCACCAGATAGACCTGGTTCTGAGTAGAGCATTCCAGGCAAAGAGAACAACTTTTGCAAAGGCATATTAAAGAGTTTGACACTTTGGGGAACAGTTTACAAAGAGAAAGATGATGATCAATGTATATGAATCAAAAGAAATGGAATATATCTGAGGAAGTAGAAAGGAGTTTTTGAAAAAGTTGAGTTTTTGGTTCCATGAATATAATAAGTATGAAAGTCCTTTGTAGGCTGTTGCTCAAAAGAGAGAGCTGAAGCTTGTTATCAGCAAACAAGCAAATGATACAATTTTTCAATTTTCCTCATATAACTTTGATCATTTACAAAGGGCACAATTTCAAACAATATGAAATCACGTTAGCAGTAGCAGTTCCCATTTGGGATAATAGGGTTCAACTGTCTATGGAACAATCAGATAAAAACTAGAAGTACGCAACTGCATAGACAAGATGTGAAATTGAGATGCCATAAAGCTGGACTAGAGGTTGAGATTCTGCAGATTACAGCATGTCAATAATTGAACTGTGGGGACAGAAAATTCCACCCAAATATAGATTTAGATCACAGAGATAAAATGCATGGGAATTAAGACTGTAGTATTCTGGTTCCTTATGGAGAATAAAGAAGCCTGAGAGTGAGGAGTGATTAGAACATGGGATGTAAAAACAAAAGAGGGAAAGAGAGAGAGTGAGAGTTTTGTTTTGTCTGATATTTCTAAGAAAATTAGGGAAAAAAATAAAGGTAACCCAGGCAGAAGAAGCCACAAACACTTCTTGGGTAACAGGGAATAGTCGGTAAAATGTTATATGTTAGTTTACTGAGGTGAACAGAACCTTTTCCATTGAGGTTCCATTTGGAAAGACATAAGACTTAGCTAAGATTCCAAGAAATCACCAAAGTAGGAAATGAAAAACCTCCATGAATGAAGTTGCATGAGTCTGCCTACCAGTGGATAAAGGATAGGATAAAAGAATAGCTGCAAAGGATAAAAGAATAGCTGAGGCACTGAAGTAGAAGCTCCAAGTGAGAGGACTAAATCTAACAGACATGAAGAATTATTATAAGAGAATTATTATAAAACCACAATAATAAAAGTGGTATAATATAGGGGCATTGATATATAAATAGATCCAAGGAAAAAAATACATGTGCATAAACACACAGCAATGGTACTGCAATAATCAAAGAATACATTTTTCAACAAATGGTGATGGGAAAATTGGGTATCTATATAAAGGAAAACAAGTGCAATTGGACACATCTCAATACATAGCCAAAATCAATCCCAGCTATATTAAAAGCATAATTGTAATAAAATCACAAGGCTTCTAGAATACTGTATAATATAAAAGGACATCTTCATGGCCTTAAAGCAGGGAAAGATTTCTTATTCCCTCAATCAGTAGGGAACCGATTGATAAAAATGGCTATATAAAAACTGATATTGAATTTATCAAAGTTAATTATATAAGAGTGACAAGATTGACTGTATAGTGACATATCATTAAATATCTATATATTTATACCAAATTAATATCCCTATCTATATTTATATATTCAAGAAAAGCTAGTATATATAATTTATTTTTTAAAAACCTAGAAACTAATTTTTCTCCAGATCAATGAGAAAAAGGTAACTGTCAATAGAAAAAGTGAGTGAAAACCATAAGCTCCCAGCAAAATCTCACTGGTCATTAAACATGTAAATGTTGCTAAATTTAATAATCAGGGAAATGGAAATTGAGTCCAACGAAATATATACCCACAAGAATCTCTACGATGGTAAAAATAGTAATCTATCAAGTGTTGGCAAGGCAAAAGTGTCAACAAGAATTCTCTGAATCACTGGCTAGAGTGTATATTGGTAGATCTAAGTTGGAAAACAATTTGGCATTACCTAGTAAAGTTCAAGATGTGTGTACCCACTGTCCATCAATTCCACCCTTGAGAAAGGCTTTTCTAGAGAAACACTTCTGTGAAAATCAGGACAAGGATATTCACTGTAATACATCTGTAATAGCAAAAATGCATACAATATCCAAATGTAACTTAACAGAAGAGTAAATAAATTATGGTTTATTATTATAAAGAAATTACACAGCAGTAAAAATTCATGAACTAAAACTAAACACACAAACATGACTGAATTTCACAAATTTGAAGAAAAATTACATTACAGAAGAAAGGTACAGTATTGTCTCATTTGTATAAAGTTTGGAAGCATGTAAAACTAAACACTTTTGTTTGCTTATGTACCTATGTGTTAAAATATGAAAGAGAAGCAAATAAATATAAAAGCAAACACCTCAGTAGAGTTAGAGAACAGAGGCATGGGATCTGGGAAAAGAAATGAGTGCTTTCAAATATTCTGGTAATATTTTATTTCCTGTGCCAAGTTGTTTTTTTAAGTGGTCATTTTGTTGGTATGTTATCAAGTTATTGTCTATATATTCAAAGACAATCTTGTAATGTGGAGGAAACAACCTCACTGAACAATTAAATAAGTAAGGAGAAATCTATGGAAAGATATACATTAAACTGTTAACATTACTTACCTGAAATGAGGATGAGATGGAGGAAGAAAAAAGTAAAAAAATAAATAAATCACCAAAAATGCACTATTTAAAATAAATAGTTACAGAAAGAAAAGCAAAAAAGGGAGGTTATCTAAAAGAAACACTAGTAAATGAACAAGCTAAAATACACCAAAAAGAGCTAAAAGGTGAAGTATTTTTCAAAGCAGTGGCTAGTTTCAGAATCATAAAAATAGCAATTACAATAGAGATCTATATTATACTAAAAGATAATTAGATAATTAATAGCCAGAAGAAATGTCTAGTCGTGAGTTAGAAACTGATGCTCAAATTAATGGCAAAGGACATTTTTGAAACAACTGTAAAACTCTGCATAAAAACTAAATAGCAGATAAGATGAAACTGCATTGATGAGAAAGGATGATGATCATTAACTGAAAAAAAAAGCTTATCAAACAGAATTTCAAGAATATTGTTTATAATAAAAAATAATGTGTCTATATATCTACACATTTATATATGGGGAGAGAAGGATCTAGAAAGACTCTCACTAATGTGTTAACAGTGATAATTGCTTTCTGGCAGTGGTATATTTTTATTTTGTTATTTTATTTTCTAACTTTCTAAAATATCAGTGCTTTGCTTATATTAGCAAAAATAGACATACAATATTTTAAATGAATACAAAATAACTTAGTTATATTTACTGAGTTAGGAATAAAAGCTTTTTTTCCCGATACCATGAAGTGTTTTTGCTCAGAAACATGAAGCAGTAACAAGATGATTATGAATCTGTGGAGCAATCACGTCACAAGAAGGTGCAGACGGGGATGAAAAAGCCTCATCCCTTTGCGACGTCAATGCGACCACGGGCACCAGGCTTCTCGGCTGGGTAGCTCTTTGTCTCCTGGCAGCAGGTGAGCTCTGAGCACAGAATAAAAACCCTTGTCCTGGGCTGGCCAACCCCCAGATCCAAGCTTTGCTGTTGTTGTTAAGGTCTTTCCTGGACTCTGTCTACAGCATCTGTTTCTTTCTCTTACAGGCTGTTTTCATGCCAAAGTCACACAGACTCCAGGATATTTGGTCAAAGGAAAAGGAAGGAAAACAAAGATGTATTGTACCCCCAAAAACGGACATACTTTTGTTTGTTGGTATCAGCAGAATCAGAATAAAGAGTTTATGTTTTTGATTTCCTTTCAGAATGAACAAGTTCTTCAAGAAATGGAGATGCACAAGAAGCGATTCTCATCTCAATGCCCCAAGAACCCACCCTGCAGCCTGGCAATCCTGTCCTCGGAACCGGGAGACACCGCACTGTATCTCTGTGCCACCAGTCCGTCCACAGCACTGAAATGTCAGTTCCTGTTAGCACACAAACTTGCCACAGACCCAGCTCAGGAAGCAGGTGATGTATTAGGTTGGAAGGGAGTAACAGAAAATAACTGGAGCCAGCTTAAGCCACAGTGGAATTTAACACAAGGATAAAGGGTGTTTAGCAGAAGTCAAGAGGTGATGGACAGACAGTTCTGAAAAGGACAGACAGTTCTGAAAAGGCACCACTAGGGCCAGGCTCTAGAATGACTATCTCTCCAGCTCTGATTTTTATTCAGTTTTGCAGCTGCATGCTTTTCTCTCCCTGTACACCATCCCTTTTTCTCCAGGCCTCGTGGTGAGAATGAGATGGTCACTAAAGATTACAAATTCAGTTGCCATAATTTCCCTACAGTGACAAATACCACCCCAGCTCTTTCTAAGCCTGAGTTCAAAATCCCAGGAGAAAAAAACAGATCCGTCATGATCCAGCCATGAACCTTCTCATAGAGCACTCAGCAGTAGGCATGTATGTATGTATTTAAAATCACATAAACGTTACTTTTCCACTCAGCTCAAGCAAGGGAAATGCTCTGTTTTTCAGTATGTACATTCGGTCTGTTGGTTCTGTATGATAGAGAGTACTCATACCCATTTCTTCAGAAATACATACCCAGATTTTCTCTGGTTTCCGGCCAGAATTGAAAATTATTGTACAAATACCTTCATAGACTTGTATGATTGCTTTATAGGATTATATACCAAGAACAAGTTGTGATTGCTGAGACATGTAATTCTATGCATATTTTATCTATCTAAATGCCACCACAGGTTCTTCAGGATCACCGTATACATCTGCAATCCCACATAAAAGTGAATAGGGTGTTTTCCTACATCCTAATACCTCCTTTAATCCTTATCCAGTGATCTAGATTGTTATCAGTATAGCGATGTAAAGAGGTTCCAATCTCCCTCTCTCTCCATCCCCTCAGCCCTGCTCACCCAACACCAGAATATCATCAGTGTTTACCATAAAGAAACAGGTGACAATTCTTTTAAAACTAAATAAAACCAATAATTTAAAGGAACTGAGAGATTACTTTATACTACTATAATAATAGGTGGCAACAATCTAGAAAGCTGAATAATGTTCTCTCCCTCCTTTTCTTTCCCTTGCATTTTTCTAACTACTAATGAATTTGAGCACTTCTTCATGTGATAGTGGTCCTGGATTTCTGTTCTCAAAATGGCCTATCCATATCCTCAGGCAAAATTCTCTATTGAGAGTTCTATATTTTCCTCAACAATTTGTAGGAAGTCCTAAGATATACAAGATATTAGTCTCCTTTTTGAAATTTTAGGCACTGGAAATACCACCACCCAATATGGCACCACCCCTGTCCCAGACTTCAAAGAATTAGTAGATGTGGGAGGAGCCAGGTGGTCTCTTACCTTAGTAGGTGCATGCGTGTTATCTCCATTATGTGAATGAGACTTCTATCTTTCACTTCCACTCTGCTGAGTGCTCAACATGCTGTCTCTTCCATTATTACTCATGTCTTTAAGCAGCATAGAAAAGTTACCAGCCATGGCTGTCCCCAAACTACTGTCACCCATCGACATCCCTTTCCATCCAGAACTGCTGAAAAAAATGCTTCACTTCATTTAGCTGTGCTTTTTTACAATCTGGGGTAAATCTGATTCAAATTAATTTTCATTGCTCTAAGTAGATTATGCTGTCTGATTATAGCAAAGGACAGAAAAACTTCACACATCTTTTTGGAAGACTTAATACTTGCCCACACATTATCTCTTTTAGGGCCAAATTCCATCCACTGCAAACACCAATCTCCTTGAGCTCTTGATATGACAGCTGATCCATTTTGATTCCGCAAATGCTTGCAAAGCAACTCCCATTCACTGAGACATATAGGCACTGAGAAACTTTCAGCTACACTACATTGAATTTTGATTTCTGGGGAAAGGGAGAAGAGTAAAAAGAACCATAAAAATGTATTTCAAGTAATGTGTATAAGGATGACAAAATATAGATTACTTTCATGAAAAACATTAGAACATTATATTCTCTTTGGGAGTGATTTATCATTGGATAAATTAAAACAAATTCCTGAGGAAGTCTGGGAAAAAATAAATTTAGGAAAACAAATTTTAAATGATATCCTGAAAACCATCAGGGTTTACCATAAAGATAACAATCTAAAAAAATCCAACAAACAATTTAATAATGAATGAGAAAATATGAATACAGAAAATTCATATGAATATGGAATGAGATATTAGTAAAAATGTGCTTGAGAACACTTACAAATGAATTTTGTTGTCCAATTTGATTAAGAGTCTAGTCAAAGTGTTACTCTTTTAAACTACTTATAATGGTGTCAGTTTGACAATATGGAACAAAAACCTTTAAAATGCTTATTTTTGGGATTTGGCTTTAAATCAAAAGAGATAGTTGTTACTGTACTTGTCCTATTGCCTTAAGCCACTATAAAACTTGACAAAAATTATAAGACAACTATTTTCAGACATCAGACAACAGGCAGTATGGGGTTGCCATCACTGAGAAAGAGGAAACCTAGAAGGGAAATTTCACTATTGTCCTAAGACTCTGTCTTGGTATGATTTCTGGGCCGCAGCTCCAGGATATGAAGCCCAAGGAGGGGGCAGTGGTCTCTCCAGCATAGGGAGGCAGAGATTGAATTCAGAGCTGTGGACATGGCTGATAGTGATAGGGATAAGCTACTGCAGAGAAGGAAGCTATGCAGAATAAGACCTCCAAATATTGTATGAAGTCTCCTTAACTCTTTGGTCAAAAACTTAGCAGCAAATGCATAGGAAAAGCCTCCATAAGACCTGGCAGAGAGCAGTTGCTGGGTAGCTGTGAGAGGAATGGAGATTCTGACAGTCATACGGGCATGGGAGATAGGAATCCTGACCGGGCAGAGCTAAGAGGCCTTGCTGAAACCCCTGGGAATGCAGCTGGCACCACATAGGGGTCACATCTCAAGAGAAGGACTACCAAAGTCGTAGAGTAAACCACCCCAGAACTGCCCTAACAAAGCTCAGCAAGTCTCAAAAGGATCTAACTGATCTGCCAGTTAAGTTTGCTGCCTTTTGAAGAAAAATATCTCAGCACTCTCTAAATAAAGGCAAATATATATATAAATATATACATATATATATAATCTGTAGATATATATGTCTGTAGAGAGAGATATATCTCTAGAGTGTCAACAGTGTAGCATCTACAATTTTGATCTTGAAATGAAAAAAATATTAGACATAGGAAGAACTAGGAAATGTTACACATGGGGAAAAAAAATAAACAATAAAAACCAACCCTGAAATAACACAAATGTTGGAAATTTCAGATGAGAAATTTTAAGCAGCTATTATAGAAATATGTTCAAGAATTTGGAGGAAAATATGGTCATGATTTAATCAACTGATGAAATTGATTAACCCATAACAATCAAGACAAAATGGGGAAAGACACAAATTACAATATCAATGATGAAGGAAAGCATATGTCTATAGACACAAAAGACATTAAAATAGTGACAGAATATTATAAGTATATGCAATACATTCTTCAACTTAGATGAAATGAAATTATTTGAATAACACCATTTACCAAAATGATTCAAAATGAAATAAGAAATGTAAAGAACTTCAAATGAAGGAAGTTAAATTTTTTATCAAAAATCTTCTCTCAAAGAAACTCTAGACCTGAATTATTTCTTCATGAATTCTATAAAAAAAATTAAGGAAAAAAGACTATCCTTCTTACATAAACTTTTTCAGAAAATAGAAGAGGAAGAAACACTTCACAACACTTTTATAAACCCAGCAGAACCCTAATGTCAAAATCTGTCAAATGCATTACAGAACAGTATCTTTCACGGCTGCAAATGAAAGAAAACTTTTCACAATATATGAACAGATTAAATCCAAATACGTCTCAACAAAATACTGACAAACTGAATCCAGCAGCACATCAAAAAGCTTATCCTGGGATGCAAGGCTGGTTCAACATATGCAAATCAATAAACATAAGTCATCACATTAACAGATCTAAAGACAAAAACCACATGATTTTCTCAATAGATGCAGAGAAGGCCTTAAATAAAATTCATCATCATGTTAAAAACTCTCAATAAACTAGGTATTGAGGAACATACCTCAAAATAATAAGAGCTATTTATGACAAACCCACAGCCAATATCATACTGAATGGGCAAAAGTTAGAAGCATTCCCCTTGAAAACGAGCACAAGACAAGCATGCTCTCTCTCATCACTCCTATTCAACATAGTATTGGAAGTTCTGGCCAGCACAATCAGGCAAGAGAAAGAAATAAATGGTATTCGAATAAGAAGGGAGATAGTCAGGTTGTCTTTGTTTGTAGATGACAAAATCCTATATCTAGAAAACCCCACTGTCTCAGCTCAAAAGCTTCTTAAGCTGATAAGCAACTTCAGCAAAGTCTCAGGATACAAAATCAAAGTGCAGAAGTCACAAACATTTCTATACATCAACAACAGGCAAGCAGACAGCAAAATCATGAATGAACTCCCATTTGTAATTGCTACAAAGAGAATAAAATACCTAGAAATACAGCTAACAAGGAAAGTGAAGGACTTCTTCAAGAATAACTACAAACCACTGACTGCTCAAGGAAACCAGAGAGGACCCAAACAAATGGAAAAATATTTCATCCTCATGGATAGGAAGAATCAATATCATGAAAACGGCCAAACGGCACATAATAATTTATAGAGTCAATGCTATTCCCATTAAACTACCATTGACGTTCTTCACAGAATTAGGAAAAACTACTTTAAAATTCATATAGAACCAAAAGAGAGCTCAAATAGCCAAGACAATCATAAGCAAAAAGAACAAAGCTGGAGGCATCATGCTACCGGACTTCAAACTATACTATAAGGCTACAATAACCAAAACAGCATAGTACGGGTACAAAAACAGACACATAGACCAATGGAACAGAGCAGAGAACTCAGAAATGGATCACACATCTACACCATCTGATCTTCGAAAAATGTGACAAGAAAAGCAATGGGGAAATGATTCCCTATTTAATAAAAGGTGCAGGGAGAACTGGCTAACCATTTGCAGAAAATTGAAACTGGACTTCTTCCTCACACCTTATACAAAAACTAAATCAAGATGTATTAAGGACTTACATGTAAAAGCCAAAACAATAAAAAGCCTAGAATAAAATCTAGGCAATATCATTCAGGATATAGGCACAGGCATAGATTTCATGATGAAATCGTCAAAAACAATTACTACAAAAGCAAAAACTGACAAATGGGTTCTAAAGAGCTCCTACACAGCAAAAGAAATTATCATCATAGTGAACAGGAAACCCACAGAGTGGGAGAAAATTTTGTAGTCTACCCATCCGACAATATCCAGAATCTACAAGACATCCAAACAAATTTACAAGAAAAAAAAACAAACAACCCCATTAAAATGTGGGCAAAGGACGTGAAAAGACACTTCTCAAAAGAAGACATTCATGCGGCCAACAAACATACCAAAAAAAAAAAAAACTCAACACCACTGATCATTAGAGAAATGCAAGTCAAAACCACAATGAGATACCATCTCATACCAGTCAGAAAAGCCATTATGAAAATGCTGGCAAGGTTGTGGAGAAATAGGAATGCTTCTCCACTGTTGGTTAGAACCTAAATTAGTTCAACCATTGTGGAAGACAATGTGGTGCTTCCTCAAAGATCTAGAATGAGAAATACTATTTGACCCAGGAATCCCATTACTGGGTATATACCCAAAGCATTATAAATCATTCTATTACAAAGAAACATGCATGCATGTGTTAATTGCAGCACTATTCATAATAGCAAAGACACAGAATCAACCCAAATGCCCATCAACGATAGACTGGATAAAGAAAATGTGGTATATATACACCATGGAATACTATGCAGCCATAAAAAGGAATGAGATCATGTCTTTTGCAGGGACATGGATGAAACTGGGAGCCATTATCCTCAGCAAACTAACCCAGGAACAGAAAACCAAACGTTGCACGTTCTCACTTATAAGTGGGACCTAAACAATGAGAACACATGGACACAGGGAGGGGAACAACACACACTGGGGCCTGTTGGGGGATGGAGTGGGGGGAGGGAGGGCATTAGGAAAAATAGGTAATGCATGCTGGACTTAATACCTAGGTGATGGGTTGATAGGTGTAGCAAACCACCATGGCACACATTTACCTATGTTACAAACCTGCACATCCTGCACATGTACTCCAGAACTAAAAAAAAAAGTAGAGTTGCTATAAAGTACTCTATGGGGGGGGGGGGGGGCGGGAACTAGATAATTCACTCAAATTTTGATTAGCAAAGTCTTCCAAAAATTAATTTTCTTCAAAAAATAGAAAATATACTTTTGGATCAAAAATAAATAAGTAATAAATCCAAATATGTATGAATATATGTATATATTTGTGTGCATATACATATGTGTATATGTGAACAATTCTACAACATGACCAAGTGAGTTTATTGCGGGAGAAACAGTGGTTTAGCATTCCAAAATCAATATACTTCACCATATCAGCAGAATAATGAGGAATAATCACTTGACCATCTCAACAGATGCAGAGAAACCTTTGACACAATCAGTACTAAATCAAAAGAAACACTATCAGTAAACTGGTAAGACAGTTATCTCAATCTGATTAAAGTTGTAAATGAAAAATTTACAAATAACATCTGATTGAATAGCGTGTTGAGCACTTTCCTCCTATAATATAATAAGACACAAGCCATGAAGTTTACTCATTACTTTTTGCTTTAATTATAGATGAGGGCTCACTATATTCCCCAGGTGGGACTTGAATTCTTGGGCTTAATAAATTATTGTGCTAAGCTGCTCACTATTTTTATTCAATATTATATTGGAGATCTTAACCAGCGTGATAAAGCAACAAAAATAAAAGTTTTAAACATTGAAAAGGAAGAAGTAAAAGTACAATTATTTGCAGATTACATGATTGTTTACATAGAAAATCATAAGAAATCAAGGAACAACAACTAGAAATAATTAGTGAATTTACCAATATCACAGGATACATCAGTATTTTAAAAATCAAATTTTTTTACTAGTTGCAAACAATTGAAACACGAACTTCAGAAAATAATACCATTTACAATAGTACCAATAACAAATTACTTAAGAAAAATTTAGCAATAGATGTTCAATTAAAAACTACAAAACTCCACAAAGAGAAACTAAAGAAAATATTTTTAAATGGAGAGATATATCATGCTTATGGATTGGAAGTTTCAATGCATTAAGATGGTAATTCTCAACAAGTATGTTGGAAAACCTGGATAATCATATGGAAAAAATGAACCTTTACTGCCACCTACCACCATAAATGAAAATTAAATTGAGATGTTTCATAGATGTAATTATAAAAGCTGAAACCACAAATGTTCTAGAAGAAAATACAGAAAAACATCTTTGTGAGTTGAGAGTAGGCAAAATTCTCTTAGGACACCAAAAACTCTAAGCAGTAGTAAAGAAATAAAATTACTTATCCTTTGGCAGCCTTTTATGTCAGAGGATGTGTGTTATACAGATCAATAACTCACACATGGAATGAGGGGTTCAACAGTCCTTAGAATCACGTACATACGCACAGCACACAGATGGACATGGTCTGTGGGTAAGACAAAGAAGTCTGTGTTCTGCCTGTGGTAGAGTATAGGTCAGAGCAAAAGTGGATTATAAATACGATTTGAGAGGTACGTGAGCCAGCCCAGAGTAGAGAATATATTGGCCTGTGCCGTTAGGAACC